>NC_000011.10:35363030-35514545 GCF_000001405.40 Homo sapiens
CTGAGCAACTTGCTGAAGTTCACAAAGCAGGTCAGCGGCAGACCCTCAAAGTCGGACTCCTGAGCCAATGCATGTTACTATTGCACACCCTGCCTCTCACTGGAGAGGCTTACTGTCTCTCTAGAGAAGGGGAGGTGTGCAGCATGAATGTCATAAAGGATGGGAAGTGGAGAAGCCAGGAGTGGCTGCAGGTGAGGTTCAGAAAGCAAAACCATCTTTTGGGTGTTGTGTATTCTGCCCCAGATGACAATTTTGGGGTTGTTCCAGACCGTGGATGTCTGAGTAGGAGGCAGACAGCAGGCTGTTGCCTGGTAGTGGGGAAGGAAGGGCGGATGGCTTGGAGCTTGGGACACAGCTAAAGTTGCTACAGATGCCTCTTCTCGGTTGCCAAAGGTTTTGTAACTTACAAAATAGGGAGCTCATTGGAGGGTTTCAAACCTCATTTGGGGTACAGGACCAGAGAATGCCTTCAGATCTCTCCAGGCTGTCAAATTCCAGGATACAAGTTCCCCCAGGGACATCTCTAACACATCTGGCTTGGTCTCAAAATGACAGAGGAACTAGCACTTAGAGCACTTTCTGTCAGCCAGTTGCTTTATACTGAGTTCTTCCAGCAACTCTCTGCACGGAATTATTATTATGTCCATCTTCTTGATGAGGCAAAGAGAGAGAAAATAACTTGCTCCAGGACACGTGGCTGACAAGGTCTGGAGCTAGGACCTGAGCCAAAGAAAGAAGGAAGAAAATGATATCTGGGTGTAGTACTTGGTACTCAATAGGTGTTTTGAACAGGAGGGGCATCATACCTTTTCCTCACTGATTGGTTCTCATTCAAGCATCTACAAAGGACCAGGACACGGAGGTGTACAAGGCAGGCTAGGTCTGTACCTGCACTGAGTGGTATTTCCTGTTCCACCAAAGACAAGAGCTTAGCAGGTGGCAGGGGCACCGGCAGAAAGAGGATGACCCTCAGACCCAGGACCCTGCACTGTTTTCCATTGCTGCCATCCCATGCACAGAGGCTGGATTGAAAAGCAGCTCTTGGAACAGAGTCTGCTTGCTCTGACACTAAGAACACCATATGTGTCCCTGCCACAAAGGGAGAGAAGACACTCCCTGCTGTTCTGGAGGTGGTGTCCAGGAGCTGGCAAGCAGCCTCTTGGCATTTTATTTCAATAGCTGAGGGTGGGGGCTGTGGGGAGAGTTAAGCAATGGAAAGTTTTCCTTTGTGCTGCCCTCACAAGGCATTTCTGGAAAGGGTCAGTTTGGGGTGATTCATCATCTACCCATGTAGACTCACACTGAGAAGCCAGCTCAGATACTGTGATTAAAAATACATTTCTTCTCACCTACTTTCTTATTAATATTCTGTAAGTGTACTAAAGGGGCCTCAGTCAATAGTAAGAAAAGTTCATTTACCCAGTAGTAGCTACACTGGCTCTAATCATTTGGTGAATGTAACTATCTACCTAAAGACTTGATTTTCTTTTCAAAGAGCTATGGTAAAATGCCAAGCACTAAACAATCCAGCAAAGCAATTACTTGCTCAACAGTCTGCTGAAGTTTGAATACCACTCACTAACTACACACATTAGGTAAGTGATCAGATTTCCCTGAGCCTTAGTTTCTTCATATGTAAAATGGAGATAATCAGGATACCTATTGTAGTCATAGGTTAATACATACACACCCCCATGATGGTGCCTGGAACATCACCTGCACTCAATACAAGTTAGCTATCATTATGCACACTCAACCTATTTCTTAATATTTATGGTCATTTATTCTCTTACTGTGTGTGCCAGGTGCAGGGCTGAGGGCTTATAGACATCACACAATTCAGTCCTCAAGACAACCCTGTGAGGTGGGTATTAAGCCCATATTACAGATGAGAAAATGGAGAAAAAGAAGTCCATACCTGGTGGATGGCAGAGCAGGGCAGGTTCATCTGAACGCACAGCCAATGCGTTTTAGAGTAAGACTGTGAAACTAGCAAGAGAGAAAACCTTATGATCTCTGTTTAACAGGTCAAGAAACTGAGGCAGAGAGATGTTAAGTGACAAATCCACATCCAGTTTTGTTTGCACAACACATGGGACAAACATCAAAGTGGATGGGTCAGGAGATGATACTGAGGAGGCCGAGGAATAAGCTGGCTTTCTCCCTTGACTAAAATAATACAGCAAAGGTGCTTCTGGTCCCTCTGGGGCTGGGTTGTATCCATGCCATTTGGGCAACTCCTCTAAGTGCCTCCAAAGCCCTTGACATTGCTCCTTACACATGATCAATGATATGGTAAAGCTGGTGTAACTACAGCCCTGCCATCAGCCTGGCTCTGAGGTCAGCATTTCCAGCATCAGTCTCAGTGTAGCATTCCCAAGTCTCCACAATCACCAAAGATCATAAACGGTGTGAGTTTGAATCCTTGTCGTAAAATCTGCTCCTAGGAACCCAAACCAACACAGAACCAAAGTAACACATGCCATTTTCAAGCAGAAACATTAACTTCTACATGTGGGATCACTCATCCGAAAAACTCCTCTTCATCCTTTAAAACCCCGCTCTGCTGTCTCTGTCTCTGCAGACTTCCCTGACCATCCCCAGCCTGCAACAAAAGTGATGTTTACCACTCCTGAACTATTTCTGTTTTCTTTACATAATTCAAATTGTTGTTACCCAGGGTGGACTGGCCATTACAGTTTATATGTCTGTCTGTCTGTCTCTCCCATCAGGCTGTGCACACCTCCATCGAGGCATCCACAATTTATTTCAGTTCCTTGGGAATTAGCAATGCATATATGGTCTACATCAGTGGCTCTCTACAGGGGTGACTTTTCCCCTAGGAACACGTGGCAACACCTGGAGACATGTTTGGTTGTCACAATTATGAGGTGAGGGGAGGGAGGCTATGGGCACCAAGTGGGTAGAGGACAGGAATGCTGCTAAACATGCTATAATGCATAAAACAGTCCTCCACGGCAAAGAATTAGCCAGCCCCAAATGTCAATAGTGCTGAGGTCAAAACACCCTGGTCTGGATGGTAGCTCTCAGTTAACCATCTATTACATGTACTGTGTCAACTAGAGTTTATTATACTTATGAATCAGGGTTCAGGGCCTGTTTTGGTTCTCAAGTATTGCTGCACCTCTGTGGGAGGATTACACTTCTCTATCCCTGAAGACGTCCTTTGCCACGTGAATTCCTTTGGATAAAGAAATGTGAGCATGTCTCAGATGCTCTCAGTGCCCCACTCACGTCCCTCCTCTCTGTCCCTCTAATGCACTCCAGCCAACTTGTAACTGCTAGCATCTATCTCTTTGTCTGAGTGCTTTCTCGGAAGCTAGAAGGCTACTCTCTGTGTGTACACACGGGCTGGAAGTGCTAGGAAATTAAAACTCCTCAGGAGTAGCCTTCAACCCATGTCTGGAAGGTTTGGTTGTGTAAATATACCAGCTCCCTTGTTCCTCAGGAGGGTAATTCTAAGGCACATGATTTGCCCTGTTTTCCAGAATTTCTCCATGGGACTGAACTGGAGTTGTCCACAGTGGTAGCTAGCTTGATAACACATGTTCTCCTGACTGCCTTCCTTGTCTCATTTCTCCATTCCCTGATTGATGTTTCCTATATCTCCCTAATAATCTGTATGAGTTTGAAGCCGTGTTGTAAAATCTGCTCCTAGGAACCCAAACCAACACAAAACAGAAGTAACACATGCCACTTCCAAGTAGAAGCATTAGGAAGTTCCCCATGGTTCTGCTATTGCTCTTTTCCCCTCTGGTTTAAGAGAGGTGTGGCCCTGGCTGCTGCTTCAGCCCGGGTCCTAGGTGAAGAAGGTACAGTAAATGCATGCAGTTGCCCTGCAACCAATGTGTAACAGACACAAAATCAAATTTTGTTGTTGGAAATCACTGAAACATGGGAGTGGTTGTTATTGAAGCAGAACCTGGTCAAAGCTGACTAATACAGGGCTTCTCACTCCTGGGAGGACCTTCCTAACTGACTCTATCATAGCAGACTTGCTACTTACCTCCCAAATGATACTCATCTAAGGGTAAAAATCATATAGCATAACCCTGTCATCTCCTTGAGTTTGGAGACAGTTGTTTACTTCCTTCTCTTTGTGGAGTTTCTTTGTAATGCATGGTGCTTTGTGCAGTGCCAGGGCATTGGTGAGCACCTACAATAACTGGTAGATTTGACCCTGAGCTATCTGGGTTTTACCATGGGCCAGTTCATGCCTGGTGGCTGTTGTGGGAAAAAGAGACTCAAGATGAGGAACTTGACCCAGAAATGGATGAAATAATTATTCACACTGCAGTTGCTCTCAGCCAGGGTGACCTTGGGGGAAATGCCTTCTGCATCTGGACCCTCATGTGTCTAACACAGGATCTGATCCTGAGCTTAAGTTCCGTCCCCAGCACTCAGCTTCTATGGTTCAATGAAGACCAAAGCAAACTCCATTTTCCCGAACCCCTGCTTTACCCATCAGCCTTCAGAACAGGCTAAATTCATACCCAAAATGTCAGAAGACTGTTTCATCTAGTTCATAAGCAGCTCATTTCTTTTCTCCTATTAAGAGATCAGAAGAGAGAGTTACATTTTTCCTTCACTCTGTCCTTGACGTTTATTATGATCCACGTGCTACCATCAGCTGAAAACTGCTCACAGGCTATCACAGCATTTCTCATGCTTGAGTCATTCATGTTCAGCCTCTGCTATTTTTGCCCTATGTGAACGCCACCTCTAGTATTATTTCTGTAATAGTGTTGAACACTGACTGATTCTTTGTACTCCAGTAAGTGTATTCTAAGACAAAATTTTAGATCACTACCATCAATAAAAATCCAGTATCACCTGCCATAAATAGAGGGTGGAAGTGAAAATGAATATGACATAAAACCATTTTTTACTGAATTCTAGCTAGATATTATTGTCTGCTAAGCCTCTGCTATCTGCTCTGTTTGTTAAAAATGGAGGTTAAAAAGTATTAGACGGTGTTGAAGGCACAGCACCACCTAATCAAAGTTTAATCCTTGTCATACTCAGAAAGATTGAAAAAGAATTTAAAAAGGAATAATTTTCTCACCCCATGATAGGACATAACTTAATCCCTCATCAATGCACCCCCAATCATCTCATGTGCCCCCTAAAATCATCTTTCAATTCATCAGAACATTCATTTCACACTTTGAGTAAAGCTATATGATTTCCCTGGATCTTTACTCAGGTATGGTTGAGCTACTGACAACACAGAATTTACAGCTTGTCAGCTGCAGGTCTGAGTCCTGCTTTACCACTTCCTAGCTGTGTGATTTTGGAAAAGTCACTAAACCTCCCTGAGCTTCTCTTTCCTGGTCTGCAAAATGGGGATAATCATAGTCCCTACCTCCTAAAGACTTTCAAAAAATGCTTGGCCTGCAGTCATGCTCAATCAATTATGGCTGACATTATTATTGATTATCATCAAATCTATATGGTAGGCATTTTGATATCCATTCTACACATAAAGAAAGTAAGGTCCAGTTGAGTAATCTATCAAGCTCACGTAGCCTTGCTTTTCCCACTCTACTAAACAACTGTTCTAAAAAGCAGCAAGGGTTGTCATGAATATTTTAAGTCAGAGATGTTTACTGTTGTCCTGTTTTATTTTTCCTAGCTCTGCAGGCTTGCTTAGCTGCCTTACACTGAAATACAGAGAACAATGGTGCATACACATAAGCTATCAGCTGGGGTAGATTCAGGCCCAGCCATGATGTCCCTGACACGTCTTTGGCCCCCAAAGCATGCCAGCTTACCCTGGGATATGCCATTTTGTGTAGGAAAGCAGATGAGGACAGAGGTCTTGTCTAGCACCACTTGGAGAAGCAAAATGAAGTGCAGAGCCCTGCCACTGACATTATGACAGGGGTGGGATGGACAGTGCCATTCCTGTACCTTTCTATTTTTAATGTTCCATTTCTACACTTCTTGCCTGATTTTAATTAAGCTCCACTTCAAATCACTGCCTAGAGAGAAGACTTTAACATTATAGAAAAACACAAGTCTGGGAGAGCTCATACTACATATGCTGCTTGCTTTCCCTTCCCGAGGCTTCTCCCTGGTTTTAAAACATCAAGTCCTGCTCTGGAGTGGATAATATGTGGGCAGCAAAAATAACACATCCCAGAATAGACTTTTTCCCCCACCACCTTCCCAGAGACTGGGGGCTCTAGAGACAAAAGTAATAAAGAGGGCCTTTTGTCATGTAACTCGAGGTGAGGGAAGGTGAGAGATTGAACACTTTCAGTATAAAAATTACAAGTTATATTTCAGCATCACTCATGAGCTCTGATTGTGTTGTAGGTTTCCATCCTCATACTAGAATCAGCTTACCAAGCTCCAGGTTCCTTACCAGATGCCTTGAGGCTCTCTCCCACTCCCCAGCTGAAGCAAAACAAAATATGTAAAGAATGAATGGAAACTCATGCTGGAGGTTGGAAATAAAAAGCCATGGGGCCTTGGGGATAAAGAAGCTAAATGGTCTGACATTTTGTTGATGCTTACCAAAGCATTGTCCCACACATGAGATCGTCACACCTACCAGAGAATGACACAGCCACATACACATCCCTAAAAAGAACTTAGAATTTCTACTTCAAGATTCAATACATTTATTCTGAATTTTTATTGACTGCCTCTTAAGCTCTGCCTTGCAAGTGACACAAAGCTGACCTTGCCCTCTAAGAACTGATCATCATCGTCAGCCCAGATGACAAGGTGTATGTATTCAGGCAGGAGCTGGGGCAGGATAGCATGGCAGTAACTCAAATATATAACTAATGCTAACAAAAATCATAATATAAGGATCCCTAGCCAGTCAAGTAAGAAACAGTCCATATAGGAATAAAGTATCTGGTTGTCAGAAATCAAGAATTTGGGATAAGGTAAAGTAAAACTTACCAGACTCACAAAATTGGGTGGGGGTGAAGAGGGAGGATGATTCAGGCAGAACAGTGTGGGCAAAGGCATGAAGGGAAAAGTATACGTGACCCTCCAATAGGCTGTAGCACAGTTGTCAGTAACAATAATTGTTAATACTTATAATGCACTTAAACCATCAGCCAGGCAAGGGCTTTATACACAGCATCCAATTTAACCTGCACAACACCTTGATGTGGAAATACAGTGTTACTTGCCCCATTCTTCAGTTGAGGAAACAGGCTTGGCCTTGCTGAAGGTCAAGCATGTGATCCTCTAAGAACTGGGGCTAGGTTTATGTGATTCCAGAGCTCACTCTCTTTAGGGAAAGTGATGAGGCAGGAGTGGCCACAGAATATTCCTCCACCTCTTCCTAGGTACCTTTAGTGGTGGCACATTGTCAGTGCCGGGCTAAGCCTCCTCAAAGAAGGAGTCAAATTATCTCTTCTGAAATAACTACCTAAGTTACTTCAGCTCTCAAGTGAACAAGGACAGTGGTGACTTTGGGCAACTGTGCCTCACCAAGAGAAAAGAAGACTGGGGTCTTAGCAAATACTCAGCAGCCTGACAGAGGGTACATATGGGTTGGAGGAGAAGCCCAAAGAACAGAGTGAGTGTTATAAGGTGTACTCTGGTTTCATGAGAGGTAGAGAGCAGCTCCCACCCAGAGCTAAGAGCAGAGAGGAGGGCTCAGTGCGGGGAATGAGAGCAGGTGCATCTTTCCATCTTATGTGAGAGGCTGTCTCACTGGAGGCAGTGTCTGAAAGAAGAACTGGATGGCAGAAAGTGAAATCCCCATTGCTGAGTATCCCTCCCCAGCATTGCAGCAGCCAGGTAGAATTTCCATGACCTCCCAGGCCAAGAAGAACATGAGCTGCACATGCTGAGTGGCCCAGGAAAAGAAAAGATGGCTAAGATATATGCAAGAATACATGAAATATATGAAAACTTGCCTTGCTTATTTGGATAAATCATTCCATTTCTGCCAGGGTACAGACAGTCCCAAAGGGTGGCATCTTCCTCTCTCATTCATGGGGTGAGTTTTGAGCTGTTTTCTTGCAGAGACAATGGGTGGAGTTGACTCATCTGTGTTCACTTTGGTCCAGCACCTGTAGGCCAGGTGGCTACCCTCAGTGAGAACCCTTTGCCTCATTCATCCTAAAGCAACCTACTTTGTCTCACCCACTGTTGAAACTCTGAATGCAAGCCCCATTTCCTTGTTTCCCATTGTTTCATTTGCCTCTTGTTTATGAGCTTCCCTCATGACTTTGATACAGCACCAACTTGGCTCCAATCCACATTCCCTCCCTTCCTAGTGACATAGGCAAGTATCCACCATGGTCCAGCTGGACCCTCAGAACCTCCTCTCTCAGGTTTTACTGATTGTTCTCACTCTTCATCTCCCTGCCACCATCTGTCAACTACAATGACTTTGGTGACCAATGGCCACTGGGCAGTCTACAACAGTGGAGCAAAGTGAAGCTGATGGGTCCCCTGAGAATTGAAACCTGAACCTGTGACTTCGTTTCCCTTAGTACCACCAGGGGTGGGAACACACCCATGATGCCTTGAGATCTTTGCAAAGGGAGACTCTGTGACCTCATTTAATGTTTTTAGGAGTAGGCAACATCTGCAACGATACTTGAGAGACTTTCACAGTTTTGTTTCTTTGCTGAACAGTCAGAAGTACAATTAGCTGAATTAACAGGCTGACTTCTTGCTACTCAGAGTGCACCCAAGCAACCATCCACTTCACCTAGGAGCCCCATACAAATGCAGAACCCCAGGCCCCAACCAGACCTGCAGAATGAGAAACCACATTTCCATCAGAATCCTAGGTGATTCTTAAACACATGAGAGTTTCAGTAAGAAGCACTATTCTACCTGATCTTGAAATTCACTCAACCAGGCTACAGGTCTAAAATTGTTTCAGTTGGAAAAGCAAATGCAAAACAAAATGATAGTAGCCTGAGAGTTCTGGAGCCACTAATACTCCTGGACAATGCATGAAGAAGCCTTGGGGTCTGGCCCAGCAGCTGGCTCCCCCATCAGTCATGGTGCCTTCACCACTGTCTGCAACTACCAAAAGGGGTGCAATGTAGGACAGAAGGGAGTAAACAAAGAGGTGACTTGGAGAGAAAGTAGAGAAGGGATGGAGAGGGCAAGGGAAGGAAGTATGCCTGGTAAAGAGAAACTACAAGGCTGCCCCTTGGCCTCTCTTGTCTCTTAGGATCAGATGCATCTTTCACTCATTTTTCAGCTGGACCAGACCCTCCTCACTTACAGAGCCTTCATCAACAAATCACGCCACCCAGGTGATGGCTTCATTCTGCTATGCTATCTTATGGTGTCACCATGTGTATTGGTCCCCTCTCCCCTGCTTTGGTGGCTCTGGGGACTGGGCATTTAGCCACATGACAACTCCCAAAGCTAGATTATTAGCTTTTCCTGTTATTTTAGTATCTCTCAAGTACACACTCCATACAATTTATTTGAGATATTTATCCTCAGTTTCACAGGTGATTATTGCAAACTTATTCTCAATAACCAGGAAGGACCTAGCAAAGGACCAGCCACAAATATGAGTATGGTGCTTTGGGTGGCCTCAAGAAGTTCCCAGTCATAGTAAGAATTATAATCAATAACTTATTATTGTAGCAATAATTATCATCAAGGTAATTACAGTAGGTTATAATTATAATCAATAGCACTTATAGACAATAATAAATTGTAATCAATAACTCAAAGTAAGAATCTACAACCAATGATTAAAATCAATAATTCTTGTAATTATAATCAATAACTCTTAGAATTATAATCAATAACTATTTTTCACCAGGAACCATTCTAAGCCCTTCATTTAGATTAATTCATTTAATCCTTAAAATAAGTTTGTGAGGTTGGTATTTTTAAGGATCTTCATTTTACAGGTGGGGAAACTGAGGCACAGAGGATTTGGGTAACTTGCTCGAACTTGTTTAGCACATGGTAGTTTGGGATGCAAGCCCAGGCAGCCTGGCTGGGGCATCTGGCTTCTGCCCACTGCTCACAGCATGATCAGAGATTCAGGCCTATGTACAACCCAGGGATCCACATTTCAGAAGCACGACACACCAGAGCAGGGCATGAGCCATGTGTGGGGCACTGGGGCACCTTCTCTCAGAGATGGTGACTTGATAAAGCCTGGAGGAGCAGGGCCCAGTCACAGGAAGAGGCAAGGGCGTGTGAGATGGTGGCCACCCCTGCTCCTGCTCACTGTCCCTTCTGCAGGAGCAGCTGCCCTTTCAGCTCCTTTCTCCATTCAACACCTTCTTTCAGACCTCAAGACCCATGACCAAGTGCTGCTGTTTCCATAGCCAGGTTGGGCCCCCTCATGAATGGGACAAACCCGGTAGGGATGCCAGTCATGATCTTCTGCCCCTAGACTGTGCCAAACAACAGGTCCCAGGAACCAAGCAAAGGGCTGGGGAGCAGCTGGTCTAGGGAGGGGCTGAGGTCAGGCTGTGGGTGAGAGCAGAAGGTAGAAACAAGGGTGAGAGAAGCAGAAACAAAGGTTGAGGTACAAGGTGAAACTAAGTGGGAACGCAGGAAAGACCCCAGAAAATGAGTAGATGTGAAACAGGGAGAGGGCTGCAGGCTGTGCTGCAACAAGGTGAGGGGCTGTGGGTGCCCCATCTGCTGGGCAGGAAGTGGTAGGGCTAATGCAGCATGGGCAAGGGGCATACTTGTCTGAGAACTGGGCAAGGAGCCATTGCCATGATACAGAGCACTGGGTCAATGATTAACACAGCATCCCAGAGTCATATACACCAGGAGGCAGAGGAAACAGAAATCAGATCATGGGATTAATATAGCTCAAGTTCAAAGTATTAACTCTGAGCCAGGCACTTTGCTAAGTACTCCATGCAGATTACCTTATTTAACCCTCACATGTAGTACCTAAGAACGTCGGCTCCAAAGCCAGGTTGAGTTTGAATGCTGACTCCTCCGTGTCTTAGCTGTGTGATCTTGAGCAAGTTACTTAAACTCTGTGTTTCTCAGCTTCCTCATCTGTGAAGTGGGATTATGTTAGTAGATATGTCATACATTTGTGATGAAGATTAAATAAAATAATAGAGGTGACATTTAAAGTAGTGCCCTGCAGGTTAGGGCTTCACTGCCCTGTGTCCTCTGCTCTGGGATGCCTAGGTGATTCTACCACAGCCTCCCTCGCTCTGTGACTTGCTGGCTTTGAATGATTTATAGCTAAGACTCCAAGACACTCCCGAAGCTGAGAAATGGAACTCTTAACATTCAGGGATGTGGCCACAGAATTCTCTCCAGAAGAGTGGAAATGCCTGGACCCTGCCCAGCAGAATTTAAATAGCGATGTGTTGTTGGAGAATTACAGAGACCTGGCCTCCCTAGATCTGGTCACCTGTCTGGAGCAAAGAAAAGAGACCTACAATTTGAAGATAGATGAGACAGTAGCCAAACCCCAAATTTAAAGAACGAGTGTCCAACCTTTTGACTTCCCCGGCCATATTGGAAGAAGAAACATTGTCTTGGGCCACACATAAAATACACTAACACTAATGATAGCTGATGAGCTAAAAAGAAAAAGGGTTTGTGTATAGTTTTCATGATATTTGTACCACAGATAAGCAAAAAAGTCCTCTCATTCAAAGGGTTGGTTGGACACCACTGGTTAAAAGTATCTACTCACCTTCTAGATTTTTTAAATGTCCTGTGTCATTAATGAGCTTAGAACATTGCTAAGCAAATATTAAGCCATCTATTATTTTTTAATAACTATTATCTTATAATTTTGTCTTATACTTAGTAGGGAGCCTGCTGGCACTGTGTCATTAAGATATATCTATATATATAAATGTGTAAGGTGATACACATACACATACCTATATAAATCGTACATGTGTATAGTCAGTTCTTAATGTTGACAGGTTCTTGGAAGCTGTAACTGTAAGTGAAGCAACATATTGCTTAAGAAAACAAATTTTACCATAGTTTAATTGATACAAACAAAAGGTATTTGAATGGCATATAGCAACATTGTTTCACTTTTTAAAAACCGCAGTTTTCAAGAACCTATTTTACACATTAAGTGAGGACTTACTGTATGACTATTTGTGTAACATGGATTTTTCAGATAAAAATTGTATAACAAAAAATAAAAAATAAAAATAATAAAGTAGTGCCCTGCAGAGAATAAAACCTCATTACATTTAATGATACTTATTATTACTACGATCATCCTCTTTTAGATACCAAGACATTGAAGCCCAGATTGAAGTTGAATTATGGCTGAGAAGCAAACCCAGTCAGTCCTTCCAGAGAAGCTGAATGTGTTATCATTGTGGTTCCCCGCTTCACGTGAATTCAGAGGAACAAGGGGAAGAGAGGAGACACAGGTGAGAGGACAAAAACCCCCAGAACAAAGTGGTCAGTAAAGCAGAGTAGAAGAAGCGGGCCTGGGGCCATTTCTGAGTAGATCTCACGACTGCAGGTGCAGGTTGCAGGATGTGGGTGGCTGGTGAGCTGAGCACAGCAGGAGGCCCTGGAGATGGAACCCCCGTGTGGTAGTAGCATCCAAGCTTTGGGCCCTCCAGTCAAGGTGGCTATTTCAGTTGGGCCACGAGAACCATGTCTAAAAACCCCAGGTCCTTGCTGCAAAGTCGTCACTCTGGTCAGAGCCACACAAGTACTTGCAGACCCGGGCAGTGGCATCAGCAGGTCACTGGGCCTGGACTGGGATGAGGAGGGCTACAGAGGAGGGTGAGCAATGGTAAAAGCTAAGACAGACTGAGTGATCACCACCTGTGAAAAACTGTTCTACACACTTCATACTTCTACTTGATCTTCACCGTGACCCTAAGAATTGATTCTATTATTATCCCCAATTGGTAGACTAGGACATCAAGGCACAGAGAAGTCAAGTAACATTTGCAAAGTCACACAGCAGGTAAGTCACAGAGCCAGAAGCGGAATCCAGGCTGTCTGGCTCCACAGTCCATACTCCTAACCTCCAGTATCAGTAATAACCAGCCAGGCTAGTCTCAGAAATATCTAGACAATCTATTAGGCTTAAAAACTCCTATTTGTCACTGGATCCTTGGCCTAAACAGTAAAGTATGTTTAGTGCAGTCAATTAAAAGCTAGAAATGGAGAAAATATTAGACAATCCCAGATTGAGAGGTATTCTATTAAAAAAAAAAAAACCCTCTTTGAAAGTGTCAAGATCATGAAAAGACATGGAAAGACCGAGGAACTATCTCAGATGGGAGGAAGCTACAGAGACATGACAACTAAATGCAGTGCAGGACCTGGATTGGATCCTAGAACAGAGAGAGAACATTACTGGAAAAATATGAAATCCAAGTAAATTCTAGCAATTGTTGCAAAGTTAATTTCTTAGTTTCGATCAATGCTCTATGGTTATGTAATACGTACGATACCATTAAAGGAAGCTGAGGGAGGAGAATGTGGGAACTCTATGTATTATTTTTCCAATTCTTCTATAAGTCTAAAATTGTCTGAAATTTTTAAAAATTTTCAAAAGACAAAAAATGTAAATGAAAAAAGGATCAAAGCCACTGCCATTCTTGGGTTAAAAACCAACATGTTTATCTTTATAATTGTAACCAAATTATCCTGTTTCCACTTATGTATGTGAATAATTACTCATCTTGATTTAACATTATATCTGTTTTCAATTGTGAATAATAATTTTTTTTAAGCCGGCAATGGTTACATTTAGACACCTGGATCTGCTTCAGAAAAAAAAGCAAAAACAAAAACCAGATTACTTCCACATGCTTCAAGATATGAATCTATCATCTCCCCCTCTCTTTGACTCATATCCTCAATGTCGCTATTCGACAAATTTCCTCAACCCCTGCACATTGATGGAAGCTGCTAGGAAAAGCCTGGATCACTTGGAGGTTGAAGGTCATTTTGTAGCCAGCAGTGAGCTTCCAGAAATGCAGCTGGTACTATAACCACTGAGGAATGAGCAGGCCAAGTGTCTTCATGAAGATCAGAATGGCTGACAGGCAGAATGGTAAAGCAGAAATAGGTGTATGTCCCCCCTTCCAATGTGCGGGGCACTGACGTAAACACTCTATCCCCATTAACTCATTTAGCGCTCACTACATCCTTAGGAGGAAGGAGCCATTAATATTATTCCCATCTCACAGATCAGGAAATTGAAGGTCAGAGGGGTTAAGCAACTTCCCAAGGATGTACAGCAAGTCAGCAGTAAAGTTGGGATAGAGAATGGAAACCACGTGTCTCAAGAGACTGTAGGCATCTTTTTCCTTTTCAAACTTTCTTGTTTCAACCAATATTGGACTGGCTATCTCTGTCAAATCATCCCTGGTTTGTTCTCAACTCAGAGAGTGGGCTGCAGGTCAGCCAGATGAATGCCACAGAGCATGCACTGTGTAACAGATGCTCTACACCCGTCATTCCATCTGTTCGTTACCAAAGGGGGATGATGATCAACTCTATTTTCGTGAGATAACTGAGGCTCAGAAAGGCTAAGGAACTTGTCCAGCACCAGAGAGCTAAGTGGCTATGTCAGAACTTAAGCCCACACATCCCTGATGGCCGAGGTCTGTGCTCTCTTCATTCATTCTATTTCCAAGGAAGACTCGCAAGATGAAAAAAAATCATCAAGTAGATACCAAGAAAGGAACCTCCCAACAACCCCTAAAAAGTAAGCTGCAAAGATAGGCCTGAATAGGCATATTCATGCTGATTATTCCATTGACTTTGCCTGTCGTATTTGTCAAATCCAGATAATTCAGACCCTGAACAGAAAGAAACGTTTTTGTTTTGTTTTCTCATTTTACATACTGACATGTTCTAGCTTATCTAGAAAATTGCAAGCATTCTTTTTCTTTATCCCAGTGTTGGCTTTTCTTTAAGAAACACAGATTCACAACCTATTTCACTAACTGGCCATTGATAAATAAAAATACTTGCACATGGCAAATGGAAGCAACATTGTGCAGGAACTTGGAGGTTCCTTTAGTAGTTTCAGCCAGAAGAATAAAGCCATACAGAACCACACAAGCTCCCAGAAATCCAAACCCAGCTGATTGGTTTTACACTTGGAAACATAATCAGCACCACCACTGCCTCCCATCCCAAAAGCCCTTCCACAGTTACTAACTCCAAATTCTGAACGGGAAAAGCAATATGCAAATTTAGAAAAAGGCAGAACCCCCAGATCCTAAAGCCCAGGCTCAAATCACAGTGGCTTGATGCCTTTGCAAAGCATTACTTTAGGGACTGATTATTCTGAAACGTTGTTTGGGTGATGATACCCAAGACACCAGGGCCCTGCCTCCTGGGAAGACAGCAGTATTAGCTTGTGGCTGCATAGTAGACATCGTTCATCAAAAACAGAAGAAATACCAAGAAAAAATATTGATGCTAGCTGGTCTGAAGCAGTTTAAAATTGTCACAAACCTGCACTGATTTGTTAGCATCTTTATCTCTGAAAGCGCTCACCCTTATTCACATCAGCAATTTGTGTCTTTAGGAATAACTGAAAATTTTCATGAAAACTAAGAACCACCTAGTATAAGATTAAGAACCTTTCCAATGCATTGGAGACAAGAAGGACAGGGTGAAAAAATAAGTCTGCCTGTAACTGAAGCTCTCAATTGGATTGATAAGTCTTGTGCCTTGAACTTACTGCTCACAAAAGCAACAAGAGTGTGACAGGCAAGAGTGTCTCCAGACTAATATATAACCCGTGGTTCTCTTCAGTTAAGCTCTATGAATAGTTGTCTATAAGGATGCAGTTAAAGTTGGCAATACCTGGCCAGATTGGCAAGGATGCATAGCCAATGCGGCTAAATGTAGCTCATGGAAGGGGAAGGAGAAGATGGAGGGGTAAGTCTGAAGCTCCATTGTCTGTGAATTAAATGCATTAAAATTTGTGACACATGGCCAGGCGCAGTGACTCATGCCTGTAATCCCAGCACTTTGGGAGGCCGAGGGGGATGGATCACCTGAGGTCAGGAGTTCGAGACCAGCCTGGCCAACATGGAGAAACCCCATGTCTACTAAAAATACAAAAGTAGCCAGGCGTGGTGGTGACATGACTGTAATCCCAGCTACTCAGGAGGCTAAGGCAGGAGTATCGCTTGAAGCTGGGAGGTGGAGGTTGCAGTGAGACGAGATCATGCCATTGCACTCTAGCCTGGGCAACAAGAGCAAAACTCTGTCTCAAAAAAAAAGAAAAATTGTGACACAGAGGGCAGTGCCCGGCACATAGGAAGTCTATGTAAATGCCAGCCTTTGTTATTGCTGCTGCTACTGTTATTACTAATAAAATTTTTAGACTGCCCTGATTCACAAAACTATTGCAAATCCTTTGCCACATTTAGACAATGCAATTTCAATAGGCAATACAGACTTTTTTTTAAGCCAGACATAAAATCCTGGGTAAGCAAACTCCCACCCACAAAGAACATGGCACCTGTGCCTCGGACATATTCCTCGGGAGAGATCACCTAGCAATTTGGGAGCTTAGAAGCCTTTGCTTCAGGCTTGAGAACATGCCAAGGACTCTCCATGAGAATCAGTCTAGGGAGAGAGGAAGAGAGACATTTGATCGCCTTTCCCAGTGAAAAGCATATGTCCGGGGCACGCAGGCTTCCTCCACTCACTTATGGATGGAAACAATGCTAAGCACATTCTGTCCCAAGAACTTACTTATGCTTATCCTTAAGGCTTCACTTTTTAATTTAAATCCCAGGATCCTGCCATAAACCGGCCAATTGAAAGCTTGATCTGAGAACAACTTCTGGGCAATCAATTACTTACGTGGCGAATCCCAACAGCCAAAACAAATGTCATCCAGACATCCCCAGAGTTGGTTAGAAGCTATGGCCATTTTAAATTCTCCTTTCCATGATTATCACTAACAATATTTAATAAACTCCATTTAACCACCGACTGCAAAGACTTTACTTGCACGCTGATACCGGGTCAGGTTCATTATGTTAAGCAGACACCTGATTGTCCCAGGCAATCTATAAAAGGTCATACCTGTTATAATTCCCATGATTCTCATATTTTCATAATCCATCTGATTTTATCATTTAATCCCTCAGCCTGCTTTTGAAAAACCCAAGAGCTCACTGGTTTGATAAGACAATCAACATTAAGCAAGTTCCCAAACTGTAGATGCACAGCATGCAATGCCAATACCCTCAGCTCTGCAGTCCTGTGAAATGAAACACCTCCTTGACATAAGAACACCCTGATGCTCTGGGTGGTTCGACTCCACCTAAAGATTCCATGGAAAAGGCCTTGGCTTTTGCTTTGCTTCTGAAAAATAAGCCAGGTTGTAGCCCTGGTCATTGTGAGCACTAACCTTCTCCAAATGTGGTCCTTGGGCCTCTTCATGGATGCATATGTGCGAGTTATTCTAGGTGATCTCTTGTTAAAGAGTTTTATTTTAAATCCCAGCTAATCTGTGCGACTCCCTGGATTGGTCTGATCTCTCGATACATCTTAGTTCAGGTCTACAGCGAGCTGCAAAAAGACAGTGCAAACACTTTTGCTGTTTGTCTCCCTCTTTCCCTTTCTTCCAATCAATTCTGTTCCATCAGGAACCCCTCATCTCTTCTGCATAAAGAGGTATATAAATAAAAACAAAATAAATAAATAAAAGGGCTGCGTGAGTTGCTGATTCTCCCTATAGTGACAGCGCTAAGGCAGTTTAAAGAGGGGAGTGTGTGGGTGTCTGCACGGGCAGTGCCTCAGTGCTTCGCTGTTTGTTTTGAGTGCCTCTGGGTATTTTTAGAATCTGTAGGGAGAAGCTGAGCTGCACTGGATGACTGTTATGCTCCCAATGACACCCTGGGCTTAAAGAAACAGGATTCACAGTGACTGCTAAAGTTTCAGGCAATAGAAGACAACATCTGACAAAATTACACGTAGTGGGGATGGAGGTAGAAGAAAAGAGAAGGAAAAGAAAAGAAAACTCCTTGACAAACTAAGTTGGAGTGAAGTATTACAGAGCTCAGGTATAAGTTACTCAATTATGAGATTTTTTTAAGAGTTTGCAGTAGCCACATATATTTTCCTCCTTTCATCCCTTTGTTTCTTTTCTCTTATTTTCATCATTCGGGCAGCTTTTTGGGCAGCCACCTTTTCCATGTCATCCCATCGTGTGATTGTCATCACACGGTGATCCAGACTGGGCAATCAGAGCAATCCTTTCCTACAGTGGTCAGCCCAAGAATGGGTGTGGCTGAAGCCCAGCCAATGAGACTCTTCTCTGGGCCTCTTCCTAGAAGTATCAGAAAAGAGGCACTTTCCATTGCTGAAATCATTTTCTCTGAGGATGCTGTAAGTCTTGAGCTGCCAAACCCATCATTGCCTGAAAGGACAACAACCCAGAAGAAAACCCAACCAAAAGATGGGGAGAGTAGCAAAGTCTAGATAGCCTTTCAGCCCTCTGTCTGCTGTATCCAAAGCCTGCTGAATCCCTAGACATCCCAGTTACCTTACCCATAAAGATCACCCCTTCTTTCTCTTTGAGTTTGAGTCCCACCAAGAACAGCCCGAAAAATCTTCAATAGCTGTCAATTTTTAAAAACATCAGAGGGACACTGAAGTACAAGCCACAGCCTGTCCACTCATGCCTACCCTGCTGGTTCAGAGGACACCAGCCCCCTCAGCGAGGCCCCCAAACTGCTCTTGTTTGCCTCAGAAGACAGGCGGGAAATTCCAACCTGATCCTACTTTGTACTTCAGGAAAACAAAGGGGAGTACGTATTTCTTGTAAGTGTCATATTGCACCTTTTAATTTATTGTCTTTCCCAGAAACACACAACTATGATGATTTCATGTTCTGCAACAATGAGTACTGATCTCTTATCACATAGTCCCCTTCCACTGAGTGAAGTGACAATGAAGAAAATGATGATGAAATTGTAAAAATACAGTACCCTGCACAAAGCCAACAAACAGTAACTGTATCTGTACTTACATGATTGGTTAGATTCCCACAACAACCTTATGAAGCAGGTATGATAACATGCCCATTTTACAGATGAAGATACTGAGGCTTAGAAAAATGGAACAACTTGTGCAAGATGACACAGAAACTAAGAAATGAAATCAAACTCAGCTCCATGTTCCTACAAGGCCCGTGGTAACCACTCTGCATTGCTGTCTCTTCACTGAATCACCCACCACTTGTTGGACCTTTACTTACCATTTGTTTCATACTGTGCTTTCCCTGTGGTCCTTGTCAACCTGTCGATATTTTCACTATTACAGAGATTCTGTTAAACCTATTTTGTTTCTTCCTGATCCTCTTGTGTTTGATTGCCCATCATTCCATAGAGTGATTCTTCAAGATGGGCCACAGGGGCAACTAGACCAGTGAAATCTTTGTTTAGCTAACTTATAATGGAACATCATGAATCCATTTCATAGGAAGAAGATACATGATATTTCCAAAAGGACAAAGCATAAGTTTTAACATTCCTCCTAAGGCTGGGTGCGGTGGCTCACGCCTATAATCCCAGCACTTTGGGAGGCCGAGGTGGGTGGATCACTTGAGCTCAGGAGTTCAAGCCCAGCCTGGCCAACATGGTGAAACCCTGTCTCTACTAAAAATACAAAAATTAGCTGGGCGTGGTGGCAGGTGCCTGTAGCCCCAGCTACATGGGAGGCTGAGGCAGGAGAATCACTTGAACCCAGGAGGCAGAGGTTGCAGTGAGCTGCGATCACGCCACTGCACTCCAGCTTGGGCAACAGAGCGAGACTCAGTCTCAAAAAAAAAAAAAAGTCCTCCTAAAGGGTAGGTGAATGATCTAGATCATGCTTTAGACCTTTAAGGTATTATTGTTTCCAGCTCTCTAGGAGTGAAAAAAGCTTAAATGTTTCTTTTGAATCTGAATCTGAAAACTGATCCTGCTTTTCCTACCTGCACGCTCCAAAAGTTAAAAGCCTACACCATCTAAGAAAATTATCAGACATATAGAAAAAAATACATATGCAAAGATGTTCACAACAGTGTTATGACAGAGGAATTTTAGGCATGTCCAAGAGTAAGGGATCAGTTAAGTCAATTGTATAGTGTAGCCATGACTGGAAAACACTCAAACTGGTAGTGTATTAAAAGTTATGTCAAAAAAGAATATAGTGGGGAAACTCTGGCATAATCCTAAAAGAAAAAAGCATGCCTGAAAATACTATGTTAGTTTGACACAAATTTAAAGGACATAAACTAAAATGACAACAGTAATGGGACCTGGGTAAATTAATTTTGTTATGTTGTGTTGCCTTTTTTCTGCCTTTTTTGGTTGAAAGTATTTTTTGTTGTTGTTATTTTTATAATGGTTATTATGAAAGAAATAAGCCTAAGAAAATGCTATATGGCTTAAGGAGATAAAGATGTCATGGGATTATCAGAGAAAAGGAGAGTACAAGCAGAATGTGCCAGTGGGGAGCCCAACTCTGGAGCTGACTGCTTAGGTTTGGATTCTGGTTCTGCTCCTCACTAGCTATGTAACTAGGGCAAGTTACCCAGATTCTCTGTGTTTCAGTTTCCCTGTCTATAAAACAGGGATGGTAAGAATAGTTCCCACCTCATGGGGTTGTTCTGAAGATCACACAAGCTAACATACATGAAGCATTTAAAACAATGCCTGGCATAGAACAGGTTCTATATAAGTTGTTGCTATCATTATGGAATGAACCACCCAAGAGCAAATACCCTGTCTTTCTCATCTCTGTATTCCCAGCACCTCTCCAAGTGTCTGGCTTACAGTAGATGCTTGATCAATGTCATCTGGGTGGATTCTGGAGGGCAGTGCTGATATTTTGAGGAATGGCCACCATGATACCATCTCACTCAGTACATCTATGGTGTGACATCTCCCTCTAGATCCCTTCCATGGGGTTCTTCATGCTGAACGGATGGCAATTGTTCTACTCGCTTGTTTGGAGTACTGACAGTTAACAAGATAAAAGGGACAGAAACTGTACTGCCACAACACAGCAAAGTTTAGCAATGGCCTGCCATCGCCTCCTCTGTTCCAGCCAGGACTTTTTTGGTTGCTTGAAAGAGAAATACGTTCACCCTAGTGCAAATAAAAGAGGAGAGTATCATATTGCTAAGTATAGATATCTCATGGAATCCAAGAACAAGAAACAAAATAGTAATAGAAGCTGTCTTGTCACATGTAACTTAAACCGGTGAGTGGGTGATTCATCAACGAAGTCAGTGAGATCTGGAAATGACTTTTTTAATGATACCATAATTATATAAATATTTTAACTGAAAGTACAGATCCCATGTGGAATATGGAAGATGACTATTCTCATCCACGCAGGTTGCTCCTGGATTGTCTGAGTTCTGATTTCATCCTTTAATCCCATGAATCTTTAAAAAAGTAATGTACAAATAATGAATGTGACCCTACTCCTTCTTGAATAAGGAAGACCCACTCAGAGGCCATCTGCAAAGCATATGGCCATAATTCAAAATGACAAATACATGTTAGATTTAAGAATCCTTAATGAATCTCAAACAGTTGCAGCTTTAGGCTCAGTGGATTAGAAGATATTGATTCATCATTGAAGATTATTTGCTTGTTGAAGTTACCTATGCATTTCCACTGTGGCATATTCACCAGTATCCCAATTTCTGAATGTTCAGAAGATTCACTGGCTTTAGGGGAAAGGAGTATCATCACAGAAGTTTGGCCACTTATATGCTTGTTCTATTGGACAGTTACACAAAGACTTTGAACCATAGAATTTGGGAAATTTAGAAGGATTTTAGAAACCCAATAATCAACCCCTCTAAAGCCTAGAGAGGTGACAGTAAGTAAGATGCTAAGGCTGGGAAGCCCATGGTCTCAGAGTCTCAGTGCAAGATGGCTTCCCTACACAATTGTGTACCCAAAAAGTAACCATCTGCCTAAATATGACACCACTTGTAGAAAGGCAGTTGGTTAAATTTCCCAGATATATGTGGTTTATACAAAGATAAACTAAAGAAGTGATAAAAATGTATGCATATGCTGACAACATCATACTATATCTGGAGAATACAATTTCTAGAGGCCCCAGAGTGACCCAGTGAGACAGTGAAATAGAAATATTCAAAAATAAAAGCTTTCCCCTCACTGCATTCTAAATTGTCATTGAGAAAGGCCAGAAAATGTCCAAGCTCAAACCATCCCTGCCCTCCCCTCCTTTTTATGAATTAGGGTAACAGATGGCTTTTTCAGTACATAGAAGAGAGGTAACAGCTGTTGATAATCTATGACAAGCACATATCAGATGGTTTTTCCATTTCATCCTCATCACAACCCTGAAAGGGAAATATTATCTCCCTTTTACCAGGTGAGCAAACTGAGGCTCAGAGAAGTTAGGCAATTTCCCCAAGGTCACACAGCTAGTCTGTCTATTTCTAAAGCCTACAGGTTTTGTAGTGTTTTGCCTCCCATTCTCCCTAAACAGAAGAACCTGCAGAGGGGTCTGGGTAGCAGTCAAATGTTCTTTCTCAGAACACCTTACAGCGACATGGTTTGGGACCTGTAAGTTATCTCAGAATACCAATTCCACAATGAGCCAGGCCGGCCATCTGCTTTTCTGACTTGATCTTTCCCCAAGATGTGCTATATCAAAGACAGGGAGCTTGGTTTTATTTTTCTCTGATTGCTTGGATTCTCCTTAGCATCTTCTAACCAATCTTATATCATCATATATTATTATAATAGTATTTTTTTCTTGAGCCTGCAGGTTCTCTGGGTGAAACTATGTGTAGAATTTGGCTCATCAAAGTTAGAAGAATTTAGACAAAGGACACAGGAGCAAGGAACACAGTGAAGCTTTAAAAATAATGACAGTTGGCCCGGCGCGGTGGCTCAAGCCTGTAATCCCAGCACTTTAGGAGGCCAAGGCGGGTGGATCACGAGGTCAGGAGATCTAGACCATCCTGGCTAACATGGTGAAACCCCGTCTCTACTAAAATACAAAAAATTAGCCGGGCATGGTGGCGGATGCCTGTAGTCCCAGCTACTCAGGAGGCTGAGGCAGGAGAATGGGGTGAACCCGGGAGGCGGAGCTTGCAGTGAGCCGAGATGGCGCCACTGCACTCCAGCCTGGGCGACAGAGCAAGACTCCATCTCAAAAAAATAAAATAAATAAAATAAAATAAAATAAAAATAATGACAGTTTTCTTTTCTCTGAACCTTAACCATGTTCCCTGCTATATTTCTTTCACACTCTCAGGTTTGTTTTTTCCATGGAATATCTAAATTCTTAGGCCTATCTTGTCTTCTCTCATTCCTCACTCTTTTATTGTGCCAGAAAAAAAAAGATGTCATTTAAAATAAATATGGTTTCCAGATACCTGTAGACGTTGACACCCTCAGTCACTGCTGTAATGAAATTCAGGGATGTCAGTGTACATCAACAATCAACTGAAGAAAGGTGCCGATGAAAAGGCATCAATATGTTACTACTCAGATGGCTATTTCAAGCATCTTCTTTTGAAAGAAATCAAAAGAACATCAATTTTTATTTTTGAAAATTCAAAAAACCCATCAGTTTAAAAGGTTGTATTTTGAAATCATAACAAATTTCAGGTGATTCAACCTTCAAGCAATATTGATATATGGTTTAGGGATAAATCATTTTAAAAGCAATAGCTAACATACTAAGGGGCTTAATGTGTGTCAGGAACTTCTTCATATAGTTCCTATGCATTTATCCTCACAACCACCCCTAAATAATGTGGTCCTACTATTAAACCCATTTTACAAACATGGAAACTGGGACTTAGAAAGCTTAAATACATTCCTTAAAATTACCTTGTCTGAGAAGCTTGGTGACTAACCTGCAGTGCTTTTTCATTTTTAAAAAAGAACAAGGGGCAAAAATTTACATCTTTTTTCCCCCTTTTTTATTTGTTGTAGAGATGGAGTCTTGCTATGTTGCCCAGGCTGGTCTTGAACTTCTAGAATCAAGCAATCCTCTTGCCTCAGCCTCCCAAAGTGCTGGGATTACAGGTATCCACCACACCCAGTAATCTGCAAAAATAGACCTTCTGACTTTCCCATCTTCTGGCACCTCCCCTCACCCCCATTCTCCTGTAGAATTGGTATATGTACTTGATCCTGGTCAATCAATCACTGAAGATGGCTGCCTTAATGTGTGGGAGAGAATTACCTAAGAAGAAATGGGTCAAATCATTCTGGGGTGGGTGGGGGAAGAAATGCCAGTTCAAGATGCTGCTTCTAGAAAAGTGACTCAGAGAGGGGCCCAGCTTTTTATGCAATCCCAAAATGCCAGAAACGTGGGGTCTCTGGCCACTGAGGAGGCTCCCATGTAAATGGCTGGCTCATTTGGGTCTTCCCCACACTGGATGAGGAGGCAAGAACATCCCCTACTTTTCCACACTGTGACCTTGCTTGCTACAGAAGCCATATTACCTTCCCCTGGAGAGTAACGGGTGTGTTTTCTGACTATGTCCCAGACAAAGCTCATTAATAATTCACTTCTGAATAAATGACAGGAAAGTATTTGGTTGCCATGGTAACAACTGCAAGGCCTATTTGTTTTTTGTTCTTTTTTAAAATAATGTCTGGGCCATTTTTTTGTGAATGTTGAATTACTGACAGAAACCATACATGTATAAGACAGAGATATGAATGGGTAGGGAAACAATATCTTAAAAATGCAGTCGGTAAGCCATTAAGCATCAGGACCTTAAAATAAGGGAACCAAAATGCCTTTCTCAGCTTCCCACTGCACCTTTCTGGAAGGAGGAGGAAGTGACAAAAAAAAACAAAAACAAACAAAATCATTTCTAGACTCAATTAGCTATGTGATGAAAACTTATTCATACCAAAAATTCATATATAAAAGCATTTTTCACACTTGAACTTTTTTCTTAATTAACATATATTCTTGCAACTAATCGTTACTACAACCTTATGAGGTCAGCGTTATCATACTCATTTTATGGATGGGGAAGCTGAGTCTTAGAGAACATGGCCTAAGCCTCATAGTCTTGAAGTGGTAGAGGCAGAATTTATACCCAAGTCTGCCTGAATCCAAAGACTGTGTTCATTCTACGTATCAACCCTCGGGGAAAGGAAGAAATGGGATCCCATTAGGGGAGTAGGGTTTACCCAGAATTTATTTCCAGAAAATAGGCCTTAAATAATTTTTACTGAAAAGAGAAAGACCCGATGAGTCATAGATTTATTTAAAATGTCTTTCATCCCATTGCTAAAGAGCAGGGAGGAAAAGTGAGTTTCATCAGTTTCACATTTTCATCTTTTACGGCACTACATACCAGATGAAACAAACTCTTTTTTATAGCATTCGAAATAATCTCAGACATGTTTGTTTTTGTTTTGTTTTGTTTTGACACAGGGTCTCACTCTGTTGCCCAGACTGGAGTACAGTGGTGTGATCACAGCTCACTGCAACCTTGACCTCCCAGGCTCAAGCCATCCTCCTGCCCCAATCTCCAAGTAGCTGGGACTACAGGTGTGTGCCTCCATGCCTGTTTAAATTTTTGTATTTTTTATAGAGACAAAGTCTCCCTATGTTGCCCAGGCTGGTCTTAAACTCTTGGACTCAAGTGATCCTCCCGCCTCGGCCTCCCAAAGTGCTGGGATTACAGGCATGAGCCACCATGCCCCACTCAGACATGTTTTTATTGAAAGATAACACCCTACCCCAGATTGTGAGCATGTAGAGCCTATGCCTCCTTCACATTTGTTTCCCAGCAGGATACACCTTCGGATGCTCAGAAAGCATGAGCAGGTGGAATTACCCTAAATGAACTAATTCAGAAGCACAAAACCAAATATCACATGTTGTCACTTATAAGTGGTAGCTAATCACTGGGTACACGTGGACATAGAGATGAAATAATAAACACCGGGGACTCCAAAAGGGGCTGGGAGTGAGGGTTGAATAATTACCTATTTGATGCGATGTTCACTATTTGGGTAACGGGTACACTAGAAGTCCAGTCCCCACCAGTATGCAATATACCCACGTAACAAACATGCACATGTACCCCTGAGTACAAAACTAATTTAATTTTTTAAAAACCTAAATATGTAGATGACCAAAAACTGAGGGAAAAAAAATATTTGTGGAAGAGTCAATAAAAGAATCAATAAGAGAATGAAGTGCTTTAAAGCAATACCTCTTTAACTTTTATTTCATATATTCAAATATTCCAAGCAAAAAAATGACTCAATGCTTAAATCACTGGGTGAATTGGCCCAGTTTCCCATTCACATGCCCAGGTAGAGAGCCCAGCAGGTGAGGAAGGAGCTCAAGGCTGAGTTCACAGAGTTCCTCATTCTCGTTCCAAAACTACTTCTCAGGTTTTTGGTCTTTTTTTTGTTTTGTTTTTAACTATTAGTATTTTCTTCTTCTTCTCCTTCTCCTTCTTCTTCTTCTTATTATTATTTTTCTTTTGGTGAGACAGAGCTTCACTCTTGTCACCCTGGCTGGAGTGCAATGGCATGATCGTGGCTCACTGCAACCTCTGCCTCCCGGGTTCAAGCGATTCTCCTGCCTCAGCCTCCGGAGTAGCTGGGATTACAGGCACGAGCCACTATGTCTGGCTAATTTTTGTATTTTTAGTAGAGACAGAGTTCACCATGTTGTCCAGGCTGGTCTTGAACTCCTGAACTCAGGTGATCCACCCATCTCAGCCTCCCAAAGTGCTGAGATTACAGGCATGAGCTACCATGCCCAGCCTCTTTTTTGTTCTTAAATTTTCTTGTAGACACCAGGTCTTGCTATATTGCCCAGGCTGGTCTCAAACTCCTGGGTTCAAGTGATCCTCCCACCTCAGCCTCCCAGAGTGTTGGATTACAAGCATGAGACACTGGGCCCAGCCAAGGTTTTGGGGTCTTAAGTATTTCACTTTTCCGGATTTCTGTTTGCTATCTGTAAAATGAGCATGCTTTAAAGCTAAGAATAGAGATAATAAAGTTTAAAGTTTGAAACTTTGATTTGTATTTTTAAATGGTCACTATGACATTTAGCAACTGGTTTAGCTGGTTTTGGATGTTTATTCGGTCAACAGCACAGCCTGTGTGAAGCACTAGCTAAACACCCCAGTTAGCCTGCTCTAAAAGACAAAAACACAAACAAAAAACCCACTTGACTTTAGCACGTACAGTAATGAGTTTCAAACATGTCTGTGTGCAATCTACAGTAAGAAATAGATGTCTTCTTTTTCTCATGATGTCTCAGCGCACACCCACACACAGGCACGTGCACACACAGGCATTCACACACCAAAGTACAAGAAACGACCCATGTCCTTCCTACATGTAGTGTACCCTGATAGTTTCTATTCTCCTCCATTTCATTTTTAAAATTTGATTTTTTTTAAGTAAGTTGCTTTCTTGACCCACTAAATTGGTTTTGGCCTGCAGTTTGAGAAGCAATATTGAGGTTACGTTTTACTGACCACTCGAAATGTGACCAGTGCAAAATGAGATGTGTCATAAGTTTAAAATACCAGCAGAGTTTGAAAATATTACCAAAAAATAAAATGTACCATCTCATTAAGGAATTTTTCATATTAGTTACATGTTGAAGCAATCATAACTTGGATATATTGAGGTAAGTAAAATCTATTCTTTTTTTTTTTTTTTTTCTTGAGATGGAGTTTCACTCTTATCACCCAGGCTGGAGTGCAATGGCACAATCTTGGCTCACTGCAACTTCCGCCTCCCTGGTTCAAGCGATTCTCCTGCCTCAGTCTCCAAAGTAGCTGGGAGTACAGGCATCAGCCCCCACACCCAGCTAATTTTTGTATTTTTAGTAGAGAAAGGGTTTCTCCATGTTGGCCAGGCTGGTCTGGAACTCCTGACCTCAAGTGATCTGCCCGCCTCGGCCTCCGATGGTGCTGAGCTTACAGGTGTGAGCCACCACGCCCGGGCATAAAATCTATTCTTAAAACTAATTTCACCTGTTTCTCTTTCCTTTTATAGTGTGGCTACAAGAAAATCTAGTATTCTATCTGTGGCCTCTGCTATATTTCTGTTGGATGGGGATGATCACGAGCAGGGTCAGTCAACCATGGTCCACAGGTCAAATCCAGCTTGCCATCTATTTTTGTAAATAAACTTTTATTGGAACACAGCCTTGCTCGCTTATTTACATACTGTCCGTGGCTGCTTTTGTGATGCAATGGCAGAGTTGACTCATTATGATACAGACTGTATGGCTCACAAAGCCTACAATATGCACTATCTGGCTCTTTGCAGAAAAACTTTGTGAACCCCTAAAAGAGCATTGGGTGCTTATAATCTGCCAGTCACAATTCTGTGAGAGTTTTATGACCCTGTTTTACCAATGAGGCTCTGGGCGATTAAGTAATTTGCCTGAGGCCACCCACCTGGGCAAGAAGTCACAGAGCTGGGATTTGAACCATTGCCAGTCTGACCACAAAGCCTGTGCTATCATCTCTACCCTGTGTGTACCTTCCCATACACCCTCCAAAACCCTTCTTACCTAGGTACAGCGCTGAATTCTACCACTGTAGCAGGGAGAACCAATCAGCCCACCTGACCGTCAACCAGTCTAGAAGGAAATGGGAACAGGTTTGGTTGGGGAAGAAGGGATCTCCTCAGGGAATTTAAAGGTTGTTAACTGCTGTTTTAGTTTTAGGACAAATTACCTGCCTTCTAACTGCCATGCAAACAAATACCGCTCAGGTGTGACCAAAATTTAAGCATCTTAAGTCTCCGCTCTCTTCAGTTAGGAATTTTCATTAAAACAGCTTGCCTTTCACTTTCAACCCTCAAACCTAAGGACTTCAAATACTAGATTTGGTAACTCTGGATATCCAAAGTCACTTTGGGGGAAAAAGGAGCGTAGGAAAGATTGCAAATATTTAGCAGGGCTATTTTTGAATCTCTTGATTTAGGCTAGAAGTCCAATGCGCTATCCATTGCACCACAGAGCCTGCTTGCAAGCAGGGCTATTTTTAAGTGAAAAAGCTAATAACAAAATAGTTTGCAGAATGATACCTTATCTTGATAAATAAATAAAAATCACCCTTATCGTCCCATTCCATGTGTTTGTGCACGTGTGTGTGTGTGTTTTGAATATTATTCTCACAGGGTATTTGGAATTCTTTTTGCTTACACATACTTTTAAGTGTTTGTACAATTAAAAAAATGCATTGCTTGCGTAAGTTTTTGTTTCCTGGTTTAAGGTGCACATTTTTGGTTTTATTTTCTAAGTACATTGCTGAGCTTTCGCTGATTTCTACATAGGAAGACACAGAGAATGTGAACTCACCCAGATACAGAGGAAAATCAGGGTCTTTCAGGACTCGGACGGGGAGGGCATCCAGCAAAAGTAGGGCTGCAGCGCCCCCATGTGTCCAGGGCGGTGGAAGTCACCAGGAGTAGGCGGAGGAAGCCGGCTTCTGACATTTGGGGGAAGGGGACCTGCCTTCTCTATTGCGAATACTATTGGGAATTCCCAGAGTCAATCAGCAGTTAAATGCTTACTGAGTTTCTTATTCATACTCCATCTTGCCAGACCAGAAATCTGAGAGAGCTGGAGCTCCCAAGGCCCACCCTTTGGCTGCCTAAATTAAGACTCCCGGGGTTCCCACACTCTTTTTCCCAATGGCAGTGGAGGGTCTTGGGAAAACTGTCTGGAGGGAATGCCCCGAGTCCTCCTCCCAGTATCTGTTCAGGCTTGGCACCCTTAGGACCTCCCCTTCTGGAAGATTCAGCAGTGCATGTGTATGCTTGGAGAGGGAGGGTGGATAAATGTGGCATGAATCTATTTGGAAGGTTTTATACATCTTGAAGTCTCAACTTTAGGTGTTTCAGGGGGGTATTAAGCACACCAGGGCTTAAATCATAGAATATTTCAAAATAGCCACCTTTTTCCAAGCACCTATATACCTATATGTTCCAGCACTGGTCAAATGACAGATGACTATCGTTACAACCGTCCAAGATAGGTGCTATCATACCTACTTTATGGTGGGAGTCTATGAGGAACCTGAAGCTCTGAGAGGCCAAGTCATTAATCCAGTAAGTATCTGGTCCTAGATTCAAACATCTCTATCCTCCTTCTTGGTGCCAGGTGTCCCATGTGAAGGTTTGGGTCAGAGTGTGGTGCTAGCAGGTGGCAGAAGCCCAAGATGCATCATCACCCAGGGTCTCGGGCTGCTGGCCTCCATGCAGCTGCCAGATGTGGCTGTATCTGTCTTCCAGAGGGCTGTCCTTAACGCCTAGCAGAGCAGCAGCCTCTCTGTAAGGATCTGTTTAATGCATGAATGGCACCGCATTTTATTGCAGCTTGAGCTGGTCCCAGGAGACTCTCCTGATTTCTAAAGCTGCCACTTTGAAGACACAGGCCAGCCCAGCTCCTGACTTCTCCCCACAGTGAATGCAGGAGGCTCTTCCCCGGTCATTTTAAAGCTAGATGGCTGCAGGTGACCCATAGCACCCATATCCCCCAGTGTGTGGCATCTGACACCCCCCTCTTCACTTCTTTCCACTGCCTATTGTCCTGAGCAGAGATGGCAAAACAATTCTAAACTGGTGTTCATTGCTAAACCTTTAATTGAATTAGGATTTGGCAACGGGCAATAGGCATTCAGACAAAATGTGAAAGGATGTTTTACAAATGTGGGAAAAAAGTCACCAACCACTTTTCCTCCCAGCTTTGAACATTTCCTTCAGTGATTTTTGTCTCCCCCCATCCCCAAAATAGCCAAATAAAAATTTATAAAAATCAATAAAGCAAGTGTCTTAATGGTGGTTTGCTCAAAATGCTCTGGTTTTAAAGAATGGGAGAGAATAGAGACTCCCTTTTATCACTCTGGGCTTCTTTCACCCTTTTCCTCTTCTTCCCTGTGGCTTTCTGCTGGTGAGAATGGCTAAAGAAGGTCCCACGGCCCTTGAAGCTCTTCTGTAACCATGATGGAGCATTCTCCAGTCCCCTCCTAAAGGAAAAAGACTGATCTGTTCAACTGAGCCCTTCCTTCCTCCCTTGGCAATTTTCAAGCTCCCTCCTTTCTATCACCTCCTTTTGCCCCAGCCCTTGAACAAACCCCAGCCCCAACCCTAGGGTCTAACTTTTTTTTTAAGTAAACTCCTCCTACCCACCCACCAGCTACAGGCAGCAGGGGAGTCCTGGTTTTCTCATGATGTTGCAGCAAAGGCCTGAGGTCCACACTCTGTCTCCCACGTGCCTTCAGCCACGTGTGGAGGGATCAAAGACACATCAAAACGGGTCTCCAAAGCCTCAACCTGCTGCTCAGTCACCACCGGGATCTGCCCCATTGCTCTGGGTGGCTGTGATGTTGGTGTCCACAGATGGGGGGACACACCAATTTGGCAGCCTGAGCCTGCTGGAGTGAAAGGCCGCTTTTCAAAAATATGGAAGTGCAAATAGCTCATTTAACTCCCCTGATGAAAAAAAAATCCCTAACTTTGGTCAAAAGAGCATGAACTTTGGCCTTTAGAAAAACGACCAAATGACCCAGCCAAAACAGGCCAAGTAGGCTGACCCCTTCTGTTTCCTAGAGAATTCACTCCATTGTACCACCTTCAGTTTCTCCTAGTCAGCTGCAAGGCCACCATCCCACCAGTTAAGGATGGGATGGAACCCCAGGTAAGCAAACCTGTAGGTCTGACCTAGTCAGTGGGAGTGGCCAGTGCCAAATGGCCTGGAGGCTTGGAGAGGCACAGTACTGGGTGCTGAGTCCCATTTCTGTTGTACTGTTAAGCCGTTGGGCACGACATGGCAGCTGAAAGATGAGGAAAGGTCAAGGCACAATAAAGACAACTGTTCTTCTGTGGCAGACAGAGAATACAGCTGCAGGTATGTTGCCTTCTAGAAAAGCATTTCTCTCCTTGGTAGGTCTGGAAGGCAAGTGTCCTCGGAGATCTGTATGCCCTGTGTGCTAAGCGTGGGTCAATGCTCAAAGGATCCCAGAGACCCCCGAGGAGAGCGTCTTCCCCACTGGTGCTCCTGGCCATGCTATCCATAGTGATTAACTCAGACTTCAGGAACACCCCCCAATGAACAACAATGGGCTCTCCCTGAGTAGGGAGGGCAGTGGGGATCCACTGTGGACAGGAGTGGGAGTTTGCCCCGTGGAGGACTGAAAGAGGAGCACTTACTCTGAGGAGGACAGACCTCAAGCCATGCACCAACACAGAGCTAATCTCTCAGGTGACTTCCTGTCAAAAGTTTAGGAGTGTTTTTTTTTTTTCTCTTAACTTCTGAGAATAGCTATTTTTAAGGTTCTCTCTCTCCCTCTCTTTTTAATCTTTGATAAAGTCATTGTATGTGTGAAGCTCTGGGGAATTAAGGGACAGGAGAGCAAAGGGAAGTGTAGCTCTTCCCACATCACCCCTCCACTAAAGACTGTCCAAGGGAGCAGCACAAAGTCAAGGGAAGGTAAGAGACCCCAAGACCCCAGCATAGCCAGCACCCGGAAGGAGAGGCCCATGGGGAGGTGACAAACACAGGTAAAGCAGGCAGCAGGCAAGTCTCCTAAAGCTTCCATACTGGGTGGGAAGAAGCAAAGCTCCGAATATACCTGAGCCACAGTCTTAGACGCTAGGTGGGCTGCTACGGACTGAATGTTTGTGTCCCTCCAAACTTCTTTTTTTTTTTTTTTTAATTATACTTTAAGTTTTAGGGTACATGTGCACATTGTGCAGGTTAGTTACATATGTATACATGTGCCGTGCTGGTGCGCTGCACCCACTAACTCGTCATCTAGCATTAGGTATATCTCCCAATGCTATCCCTCCCCCCTCCCCCCACCCCACAACAGTCCCCAGAGTGTGATATTCCCCTTCCTGTGTCCATGTGATCTCATTGTTCAATTCCCACCTATGAGTGAGAATATGCGGTGTTTGGTTTTTTGTTCTTGCGATAGATTACTGAGAATGATGATTTCCAATTTCATCCATGTCCCTACAAAGGACGTGAACTCATCATTTTTTATGGCTGCATAGTATTCCATGTTGTATATGTGCCACATTTTCTTAATCCAGTCTATCATTGTTGGACATTTGGGTTGGTTCCAAGTCTTTGCTATTGTGAATAATGCTGCAATAAACATACGTGTGCATGTGTCTTTATAGCAGCATGATTTATAGTCATTTGGGTATATACCCAGTAATGGGATGGCTGGGTCAAATGGTATTTCTAGTTCTAGATCCCTGAGGAATCGCCACACTGACTTCCACAATGGTTGAACTAGTTTACAGTCCCACCAACAGTGTAAAAGTGTTCCTGTTTCTCCACATCCTCTCCAGCACCTGTTGTTTCCTGACTTTTTAATGATTGCCATTCTAACTGGTGTGAGATGGTATCTCATAGTGGTTTTGATTTGCATTTCTCTGATGGCCAGTGATGATGAGCATTTTTTCATGTGTTTTTTGGCTGCATAAATGTCTTCTTTTGAGAAGTGTCTGTTCATGTCCTTCGCCCACTTTTTGATGGGGTTGTTTGTTTTTTTCTTGTAAATTTGTTTGAGTTCATTGTAGATTCTGGATATTAGCCCTTTGTCAGATGAGTAGGTTGGGAAAATTTTCTCCCATTTTTTAGGTTGCCTGTTCACTCTGATGGTAGTTTCTTTTGCTGTGCAGAAGCTCTTTATTTTAATTAGATCCCATTTGTCAATTTTTTCTTTTGTTGCCATTGCTTTTGGTGTTTTGGACATGAAGTCCTTGCCCATGCCTATGTCCTGAATGGTAAAACCCCATTGTCTCAGCCCAAAATCTCCTTAAGCTGATAAGCAACTTCAGCAAAGTCTCAGGATACAAAATCAATGTGCAAAAATCACAAGCATTCTTATACACCAACAACACACAAACAGAGAGCCAAATCATGAGTGAACTCCCATTCACAATTGCTTCAAAGAGAATAAAATACCTAGGAATCCAACTTACAAGGGATGTGAAGGACCTCTTCAAGGAGAACTACAAACCACTGCTCAAAGAAATAAAAGAGGATACAAACAAATGGAAGAACATTCCATGCTCATGGGTAGGAAGAATCAATATTGTGAAAATGGCCATACTGCCCAAGGTAATTTACAGATTCAATGCCATCCCCATCAAGCTACCAATGACTTTCTTCACAGAATTGGAAAAAACTACTTTAAAGTTCATATGGAACCAAAAAACAGCCCACATCGCCAAGTCAATCCTAAGCCAAAAGAACAAAGCCGGAGGCATCACGCTACCTGACTTCAAACTATACTACAAGGCTACAGTAACCAAAACAGCATGGTACTGGTACCAAAACAGAGATATAGATCAATGGAACAGAACAGAGCCCTCAGAAATAACGCCGCATACCTACAACTATCTGATCTTTGACAAACCTGAGAAAAACAAGCAATGGGGAAAGGATTCCCTATTTAATAAATGGTGCTGGGAAAACTGGCTAGCCATATGTAGAAAGCTGAAACTGGATCCCTTCCTTACACCTTATACAAAAATCAATTCAAGATGGATTAAAGATTTAAACGTTAGACCTAAAACCATAAAAACCCTAGAAGAAAACCTAGGCATTACCCTCCAAACTTCTTATGTTGAAATCCTCACCCCCATGGTGATGGTATTTGGAGGTGAGTTTTTGGGAGGTGATTAGGTCAGGCAGGTGGAGCCCTCATGAATGGAATTAGAGCCCTTATAAAAGAGCCCCAAGAGAGACCCCTCACCCCTTCCACCAGGTCAGGACACAGTGAGAGGGCACCATCTATGAGGAAGTGGGCACTCACTAGACACCAAATCTGCCAGCACCCCGATCTTAGACTTCCCAGGCTCCACAACTATGAGAAATAAACTTCTGTTATTTTTAAGCCACCCAGTTTATGGAATTGTGTGACACCAACCCAAACAAAGACATGAGTGAACTCCATTTTCTTCTTTCTCCCAGTCTTTAAAACTCACAAAGCATATTGTGAGATATGACAGAAGGATTGCTGGTCCAGCAGCCAGCAGCACAGGCAGGGCTAAAACCTGGGTTTCTCAACATGCTTTGACTGTGGTCCTCAGGATAACAAGGGGACTGGAACATCCTGAGTCCATCCACAGTGATGACAAGTAGAGAATCATATTGTGCCTCACGAGACATGTAAACCTACTTGGCTCTCATTTCCAAACTTCACATGCACTGGCCCCTCTCACTTTTGAAGGGGATAGAAAAAAAATATGATCTGACATGGAATTGACCTAGATGCCCATCAATGGTGAAGTGGATAAAGAAAATGTGGTACATATACACCACAGAATACCATGCAGCCATAAAAAGGAATGAAATCATGTCCCTTGCAGCAACATGGATACATCTGGAGGCCATTATCCTAAGCAACTTTAGGCAGGAACTGAAAACCAAACACCACATGTTCTCACTCATAAGAGAGAGCTAAACATTGAGGACATATGGACACAAAGAAGAGAACAACAGACACTGGGGTCTACTTGAGGGTGGAGGGTGGGAGGAGGGTGAATATCACAAAACTACGTATCAGGTACTATGCTTATTAACTGCATGATGAAATAACCTGTATACCAAACCCCTGTGACATGCAATTTATCCATGTAACAAACCTGGACATGTACCCCTTGGACCTAAAATAAAAGTTGGAAAGAAAAAAATATATATGGCCTGAGTTTGATCAAGGAAACACAGCCCAAACTTGAAGCACTACTAGGAAATGGTCCATTCATAGGATACAAAGCCTACAGCAACAGCATATTGTGTTAAGTAAAGGCTACTCAAATACATATTTGGGGTCCACAGTTTATCCAGGAATAGAAAGTCGTACCGCTGCCCAACTGCGTCAGAGGGGCAATGTGAGGAGGCTTAGCCTCCACTCCATTTACTCAGCTCTGGTGCTGTGAAATACATGAGAATAAGCAGAGGGTGTTTCAGCAGCTTCCTGAATGGGAAGGAAGGATAATACACTAAACCCTGCATAAGCTGCCTATGGCTGGGTCATTAGGGATTCTAGGAGACACTTCATTTGAGAGAGTTTATTTGCATCAGCCTGCCAGTTACTCACAAAATAAAAATGTTTGGTTTGGAATCTGTTCCTACCAGTCTGGAAAAAGCAAGCCTACCCACGGTTGCCTTTCACATGGACTTCCTACTCTTCTTTCCTCTTCCTCTTGCCCCTACCCTGCTGTCCTCCCAATTTAGTCCCTCTTTATCCCTAAGGAAGTCAAGAGTTGGTCTTCACCAACACTTAGCCTCCTGCAACTGCCTCCTAAGGCTCATGGGACACTAAAGCAAGCATAGTTAAGTACTCTAATTATAAACAGCTTGAGCTTGACTTACCCAGATAATGAAGCCATTTTGTATGATTTTCCCTGATTGATTTCTCTAAAAGATTTCCTGTTCTCCATCACACTTTGTTATATAAATGAAGAACCATCATAGAATGTAAATACAAAATCTGGAGAGCCACAGCAGGAGGTAGAGCTAGGAGAAGGAGGAGGCAATGGTGGGTCTTGAGACAAGATAGTTACGAACATGAGAATCAAACCTGGTAATCATGATGCCTGCAGATAGATGATGCGTTTTCCATTTGTATGCGGAGTATTCAATCATCTATTCCTACTCAAAATAGAGGGGATATTCAGCTCTTTCCATCTGCAGGGCCAAAAAGAAGAAACCAGCCCTGAATAAAGTCGGGAGCCACCATTTTAGAGAAAGTACTCAGTAGAAGAAAGCAAAGTTCTTAGAAATACAATGTGAACTCTGCACAATTACAGAAAGAAATTAGAGAATGTGCTACAGTTTACATTTTTAAAATGACAATTTCAACATAGGGTGATGTGGGATGTCAAAGATTAGGGAGCTATAAACAGCCAACCTAGGAACAAAAAGCTCACCAAATACAGAAGAAAGATTTTTGTTTAGCCTAAACCTGGCTGAAGATTTTGCCATGTAATGAGGAATTCAAAGTCAACCCCAGAGCCATTTGATATCACAACTGCAAGTAAGAGACATAGCGGTAAGGGGGACTCAAAAAGACAACTGCATTGGAGAATCTCCTGCCCCTTCAGACACTGGCTAATTGGCAGCATGTGTCAAAATAATGAGTATGTGTGCCATTTGACCCAGTGATTTCCCTTCTAGCAACCTACCCTAAGAAATAGTGAGACAGGTCAGCATAGGTGTACATGCAAAACGTTTATAATAGTGAAAAATTAGAAACAAGCTAAATATCCAACAATAGGAGATAGTTTGTAAAAGTCATGGTACCTCCAAAAAATGAAAACTATATACAGCCGTTAAACAAGTTTATAGATTCACTTATTAACATACATTCACAACACATTGCTAAGTAAAAATTGTAGGTTGCAAAAATCTGTAGGTTATGCTCCCACTATAAAAAATGTATTGACATGTGTACATGCATCTGAAATAAAATATACCAATGTTAAAGGCATTTATTCCTGGTTAGTGAGATAAGTATTGTGGAGTTTTTGAAGATCATGCTTGTGTCTAATTAGTATAGATTTCATCTATGATGAATAAATTCGTTATGGATAAACTCTCCATCCTTACAGAATGCTGCCTTAATATGGTTTACTCCAGCCACATATATTATAGGTATATCCATGAAAAATCAATCCCATGAAAATTTCTAGAGGGATAACTTTTTTTTAAGTCTAACTACTTGATTCTCCTGAAAAATAATCAAATAGAAGTCTTTTAGTGTTTACTGGTGAAAAGTGTCAAACTCTGTAAAATATTTGAAAAGATTTATTCTGAGCCAAATACGAGTGACTATGGCCCGTGACATAACCCCAGGAGATCCTGAGAACATGTGCCCAAGGGGGTTGGGCTATGGCTTTGTTTGTTTACACACTTTATACATTTTGGGGAGACATAAAACATCAATCAATACATGTAAGATGCACATCGGTTTGGTTCCAAAAGGCAGGACAACTGGAAGCAAGGAGGTGGGTGGGCGGGGCTTCTATGTGATAGGTAGGTTCAAGGATTTTCTGATTGGTAATTGGTTGAAAAAGTTTATTTAAAGACCTGGAATCAATAGAAGGGAGTGTCTGGGTTAAGATAAGGGGTTGTGGGGACCAAGGTCCTTATTATGCAGATTAAGTCTCCAGGTAGCAGGCTTCAGAGAGAATGGACTGTAAGTGTTTCTTATCAGACTTAAAAATGTGTCAGACTCTTAGTTCTCTCCTGGATCAGAAAAAAAGACCTGGAAAAGGAACAGGATTTTCTACAGAAGGGAGATTTTCCCCACAAGAGACAGCTTTTGCAGGGCATTTCAAAATATGTTGAAAATATATTTGAGGGTAAAACACTTTGATTTCTTTCAGGGCCTGTTATCCGTCATGTTGATATCTTATTGCTACAAAGAGTCTTTTTTGTCAGTCTTAAGGTCTCTTTTAATGTTAATGCTAGTCAGCTGTACCTGAATTCCAAAGGAAGGAGGGTATAATGAGAAATGTTCAACCACCCATCCTCATCATGGCCTAAACCAGCGTTTCAGGTTTGCTTTAGAATGCCCTTGGGTGAGAGGAGGGGTCCACTCCGTTGCTTGGGGAGCTTAGAATTTTATTTTTGGTTTACACGTCCTAGCTGCATACTATTTTTTTAATGTTTTATTTCAGAGATGAGCATTTTTTTTCTACACCACATGGATTCCCTTTATCCACGTACCTACTCACCTGCTGATTGTAACATTCTGTCACATGTTTCTCAAACTCATCTTGGCCTTCCAGATGCTTTAAAGTGTTGGAAACCTTAAAGCGCCATATTGGTGGGGGTAGACCCTCAGTGTTAAAGGAAACAACAGTCATCCAGTCCACCCCCTACTTCCAAGGCTCGGGCCCTCTATGATGCTCCTGCCTAGTGGCTGCCTGTCCTAGGCTTGAAATATCTTTTACTTCCTGTGCCCCCACCCAACATCACCTGAAACAATCAGTTATATTTTTAGAAAGTTTGTGAATGAATGAATGAATGAATGAGTGGAAAGTCAGGCACTCGTTGCTTGGGGAGACTTTGATATTAGAGGGTTGTGATACAATAAAAAATAAATATTTGGTCTTTGTCCCAAGTTGCTGGCACATAGCTAAAACCTTTGGGTGACTTTGGTGTGCGAATGAGATGACCAGTGGCTGGGGGCCCCTAGATAGCTTCAGGATGGGGACTGCTCACCAGAAAGACTAAGGATTAGAACTTTCAGTGCCACCCACCAAATTCCAGGGAGGGGAGAGGGGCTGGAGATTGTGTTAATCACCAATGGTCAATGATTTAATCAATCATACCTAATAATGTACCCTCCATAAAAATCCCTGAACAATGGGGTCTGAAAAACTTCAGGTTGGTGAACACATCCAGGTGCTGGGAGGGTGGCCCACCCAGAGAGGCATGAAAGCTCCGAGCCCTTCCCTGATACCTTGCCCTATGCATCTCTTTCACTTGGCTGTTTCTGAGTTGTATCCTTTATAATAAACTGGTAAATATCAGTAAAATGTTTCCTTGTGTTCTGTAAGCTGCTCTAGGGAATTATTGAACTTGAGGAGGGTGTTGTGGAAACCCCCTGAAATTAGAAATTACAGCCTGTCAGTCAGAAGTACCAGAGACAACCTGGGACTTGTGACTGACACCTGAAGTGAAGGCAACCTCATGGGACTGAGCCCTCAATCTGTAGGATAGCCATAGCCCAGGTGGATAGCATCAGAACTGAACTGACTTGCAGGACACCTGCCTGGTGTCGGGAAAGACACCACGCATTTGGAGTTAGAAGTGTTGGAAGTAAAAACAGTTATGGATTAAAAGCACATAAGAGAAAAATCTTCAAACAACCCTTCGCTAGAGCAAATACAGCACTCAAATGATCAAAGAAGCCCAGGGCCTACTTTCTAATCTTATCACCTGTGGCTCTATGGAAAAGAATTAGCAAACATACCTTTGGGTATGCACCAAGTGTTAGCAGCCTAATTTGCAAAGTCAAGAGACTGATGGATAACCCCATCTAAGCTCAACAGACTAAAAGTAACACAGTACTGCTATTCCAAGAAGAACAATGACAATCAACATTATAGGTATCTTCCAGGTCCCAGGCACTATGCCGAACGCTTCACACACATCCTGCTTTCATCCATTCCAAAACCCTATCAGGTGGGTGATATTGTCCTTATTTAAAAGATAAAGAATCTGAGTCTCAGAGAGGCTAATTAACTTCCCCAAAGTCACACAGCTACTGAGTGGTGGAACAGGAATTTTTGCCTAGGTCTTTCTGAGTATAAAACACGTCTTCTTAACTGCTGTGCAACACTGGCTCAGAAGCTGTTTTATGAAAGTATCTCCTTATGAGAATATTCTAGTGCACTGCCAGAAGGCAGATTGTCTCAAGGTCATCTGTCATCTTTACCATGTTCACTGTCACTGGTAAGAGGATTTCATGCAAGCCTGCACATGTGTGGCTGCCCTGTAGGACTGGCTACATAATGTGTGGGTCTGCACGTAATTTGGGCAAAATGAAATCTTGAGACCCCTTGTTCAAATTAAACATTTCAAGATGATAAGAGCAGAGCATTAAACCGTGGACTGCCTAAGTCGCATATCCATAAAGCAGGTCCTGCTTCCCAGGGTTCCTATGTTTATGCCCAAATAATCTAAGATTGTCTTGAAGGAGAAACCAGAAATTCTTGAGGTAAAGAACTCATCCAGTGAGCTCTTCGGCTGCATGCATTTATTTATTCAACAAATATCCTGTGATCTTATGACATGAGAAACTCAAGGATTAATTTAATGCCCCCTAACCAGAAACTAGAGCCACAGCTGGACAGAATCCTGATTTTCCTGTTCCCTAAAAGCAAGGGAACATCTTCATCTTGCTGGCTTGGCTCAGCAGCTTAGCTCAAAGGCAAAGAGGGAAAGTCCTCTCTAAGCAAACATATGGACACGTGGATCAGTCTCTGCTCCTCCACGGGCGCCTCCTAAGGCAGTGTGCCCTTTACCAAAAACACAACGTTTTCACACCTATTTTAATTTTGTTGCTTGCTTCCCATTGGGTTAAAAGCTAGACTTTGGGGGTGGCTGGTAAGTCATTTTGAAAAGAAATACCTGTTTTCATGCCTCCATTCTTGTGTTGTTGATTTTGGGGCCTTTCCAACCCTTTCCAAATGTTTTTTCAATCCCTTGAGTGTCTAGGCTTCCTGCTTTTAAGGCCTCCCTTCTAACCCAGGGTTGCCCCATTCACCTTAAAACATTTTTCAATAACCCAGAAAAAACCAGGCTGAACATACCCAAGCTCCGGAACCAGCAAATCTTGTTCGAACCCCGCTGATGACTCCCAGGGGAAGCCAAGAGGACAAAGACAAGGATGAGGACGAGGACCCAGGACCCGCTGGTGAATGGCAACTGCTGTCAACTCACTTTCAACCTCAGCCAGTTGTCCCAGGTGTAGCCTTGGCCTCCAGAGAGCTGGTCCCCGGTTGTTACTCCAGGTCACTTGGAATGTAAACAAAGTGGTTGGGCTTCCCTTCTTGGAAACCAAGACAACAGCTGGTGCGGGGCCTGGGAAAGAGGTAATTTGCCCTCTCGCTCTTCCTTCAAAGCAGCAGGAAAATCACCATGGTTCAGAGGTGTGGCTCCACAGTGCTCCCTGCTGGGCAAATTGTTCCCGGTCTGTCTGACCACTGGACAATCACGTGTGAATTTTGTGTTGAGATCTAGAGTTTACTTGCCTTGAACCCCATTGACAGTCTTCAGAGGGAGAGAGAAAGCAAATAAAGTAAAAATGAAATCTGTATATGCTTGGTTCTCGCAACTAACAATGGCTTCCCTGTCAGAGCAGACGAGAAAACCCAGCATCTCGGCTTTGACTCTACTTTCACTTCAAAAACAGCAGTTTGAGTGCCCTGGCTCTGAATCTAGGAGGATTCTAGCATTTTCCATAAGGATGATGAGGATAGCTTCAGCTGAAGACTTTCCCATAAGGCTCAGGAAGGGGATTTTATAAACTGATCTTTCATCCAATCACAGGACTCGCACTGTGAGGACTCGCAGAGTCAAGAAAGAAGATGCCAGCCATGGTTTTTCTTCTCTTATCCCACCAGGATGCAATAAATATCTCCCAACATGTCCAGTCACCAGAAAACTCCAGAAAAGAACTCCATTTCAGGAAATATAAGAATAGCTAACATTTTTATTTAGGTTGCTGGAAAACACACATACCAACTACAAGGTATTATTTCTAGACCCATACAAAACCAGAGTAAGGGAACTCTATTGAGACTGATTAAACATACTAAGTGTCTCTTTAATAGTTAAAAGATCAATTTAACAACAACGTTGTCTGCTTCTGGTAACTTTTCTTTTTCTAAATCAGTTTTCAAGCCCTGGATTTTTTTTTTTTTTTTAACTAATGTAATTGAAAAATCTGCTTTGACTTAAGAAATTCCTTCTTTGTATCTGAATATCAAATTCATTCTAGCTTCTCCTTGTTTTCCTTTACAAAGAACAATGGAAAGGAATAGACAGACATGATTCTGAGAGGAGGCAGGCATCCTGGGAAAGACAGAGGATGGGCTCAAAGATTCTTTTCTGATGAAATTTCATTGCATTTTAAAAGAACTGCAGATACAGGAGTTTGTAATTTTCCCAGACAGCTGCATGGGGACATGAATGACTGTGACAAATACATTTTTGGCTTCACAAGATGAGCTGCTTCCCAACTGATTATTCTTGTAACCTCCTTGAACCCTATTAACCCCTAGCAAAGGGTAATTATTGACTGGTAGGCAGGAATGGGGATGTTCAATTGACCACCAGAACCTTACCAAGATGACCATGACCCAACAAGCAAAAGGAAATGTTTTCTCAACCTTGGATCTGTTGCCTCCCACACCTGTTCCCTTCTGTCGTCTCTATGCCCTTGCATATCTCTTTTGCGAGGTAGACAATTCAATTATACTAACATTCATCGTGATAATGATAATAAGATGAGGCACAAAGAAATTAATGTAACCCTGATCCTCAGAGAGATACCAGGATAGTGAACAGACAGACAAGAAAACACTTAGCACACTCTGTTATGATGAGTTGCTATGAGAGAGGTCTGAACAAAGTGTAATAAGGACAGACTCCCTGGAAGAGGCACAACTCAAACATCACCTCTTCTGAGAAGCCTTCCCTCCTTCTCCAGGCTGACAAGGATGAGAATTCAGCCAACAAATGCTTACTGAGTGCACTGCATTAGGATCTAGGAGGACATGATGATGAACTAGTCTTCAAAGTGCTTACTTTGTAGATACAAACAGACAGATAAATAAAATATGTAAAAGTTGTAATTGATGCAGTGAAGGAAGCAAACAAGGGGAATGAGGTAGGACTAGGAAAGAGAGACCTATTTTAGGTGGAATGGGAAGAGAAGGCCTCTCTGGGAAATATTATTCAAGCTGAGGACCAAAGCATGCTCCAGGATCAGAGGGTGCCAGTCATCTGTGGAATGGTGGTAGGGTAGAAAGTGGTTCTGGAAAAGAGAATGCAAATGTGGGCAAGACCATGGGATATCTGAGGAACTGAGGTAGAAATTAGTAAGCTTGTAGGTTGAGGCTGAAGGAAGAAAAAAAAGGCAGGGTTAATACCAACATTTCTGGCTTTGAATCTCTAAACAGATAGAATTTACTGAGATGGGGAAACTTGGGAGTGGGTACAGATGAGTTTGTAGGGAAAAAAAAATCAAGAGTTCCATTGTACTATGATAATTTCCAGACATCTATGCATTGCACAAATGGAGACATCAGTTAGGTTGTAGGATATATGAATCTAGAACCTAGAAAAAAGGCCTGAAATAGAAACATACATTTGGGAGTTATCAGGATACATGTGCTATGCAAATATCCAGGAAGTGATTTAAAGGGAATGCAGAGCCCAAGAGGAGATTGGGATTAAAACTGGGTCCAATAAAATTTTCACAAACTATGCAAGAGCATAAATGATGAAGGGTTAAGGGAAGAAAGAGAAGAATTCCAACTAGGGAGACTTAGAAAGGACTTAAAAGGTAAATCTTAAAAAAAAAAAAAACAGCAAGCACTACTAAAATACATCCAACTCTAGCTTGCTGACTAATGAGGCTATAGAAGTAAGGACAAGCTGGCTGCCCCATCTGTCACTCTACAGATGACCAGGGTTGATCATGTGGACTTGACCATCTAGGCAGGCAGCCATTTCCTCCCTGTCCCTTCTGAGTAGTGCTCCCCTATACTGTGGGATCAGTCTCACAGAGGCACCCTGCTCTTCCTGCAGGAACCCCCAAAGTGAGCAATGAATTAGCCTCAGGTTCTAACTCTTTCCTTCATCAGTATCTTCCACGGATAATTCAAGACCTCCTCTTCATTAATCAAGCCCTTCCCTTAGCAGATGAACAGGCTTATAGCACACCTGGCCTAAAACTAAAACAACCCAACATATAATCCTGCTCTTGCCTTATCTGCTTTCCTAGTACCATCTACCTCTTGACTACCATTTATGGAAAAAAATAATTTGCATTCATTTTCTCTCCACCCATTCTCAACCCACACCAACATGGCAACAGCTGCCATCACTTTGCTGACCCAGCTCTGGCAAAGGCCAATGATGGCCTTGAAATTGACTAATCCAATGAGTACTTTTCAGTCCTTCCACGATTTGACCTCTCCATAGCATGCAGCACTGTCGGCCACTTCAAGTCACCTGCTCACTCTTGACTCCCTTCCTTACTTCTCAGCACCCTGCACCCCGCACCCCGTGAATCACCTCCCTCTGCCCATCTTCAGATACTAGAGCTTCCCAGGATGCTTCTCTTAGCCCAGTTCTTTTCTCTAGCTTCATGCTGTGTGCGGGTGAGCTCCCTTACATCTGTAATACAAATAGCACTCCATAAAGGCCCCGGCCTGTCATGACTCTAACTGCCCAGTGAACATCTCTACTGATATTCCACTCGCCACAAATGCTAAGCCAGTATGCTGAACCAAATTCACTGTCTTCTTCAAATTTAATTTCTCTCCTGAATTCCTTTTTCTGCACTTACCTCGCCCCCATTTGCTTAATCTAGAAGGCTGAGAGATGGCTTTAAGCCCTTCCACCTGCTCACACCTACTTGCACTTGGTCACCAAGTCCTTCTAAATATCCTTGGAATCTGGTAACCTATGCTCATTTCTATACCTTAATTCAGGTCATAATCTCCCACCTAAACTATTGCTGCCATCTTCTAACTAGTCTCAGTGCCTCATCCCCCTTGATATGGTTTGGCTGTGTCCCCACCCAAATCTCAACTTGAATTGTATCTCCCAGAATTCCCATGTGCTGTGGGAGGGACCCAGAGGGAGGTAATTGAATCATGGGGCCAGTCTTTCCCATGGTATTCTCGTGGTAGTGAATAAGTCTCACAAGATCTGATGGGTTTATCAGGGGTTTCCACTTTTGCTTCTTCATCATTTTTCTCTTGCTGCCGCCATGTAAGAAATGCCTTTCACCTCTCGCCATGAATCGGAGGCCTCCTCAGCCATGTGGAACTGTAAGTCCAATTAAACCTCTTTTTATTCCCAGTTTCAGGTATGCCGGGTATATTTAAGGGTTTTGCTTTTATTGTTAATAAAGCCATGTTTTTGTGTGATGGGGAAGGAGCCACTGGTCCAGAGGACAAAAGGGTAAAAGTTTTTGTTAAAAATAATTTATCTGACAGTGAATAGTGAATCATTCACACTCTTTTATTTGGCTGTTACATTCTATGTGCAAAAATGTATTTCCTAAATGTAGATTGAATGTAATCAGTGACATCTTTACCCATAAACTGGAAATATGCATAATATCGATCTGCCATGGTAAATAACAGATTTGTAACTATTAAAAACAGGTAAGGAAAGAAAAGCAAGGCAATTTCCAATGAGATTTGGTTGGCTTGCTCTACCTTCTGTTGCTCTACAATTGAGTCACTGGAATTAATTTGTTGTGCTGATAAAAACACAAACACAATGATAATCAATGTCTTGGTCTCAGAAAGCAGAGTCAACTGATGCAAGAAAATAAGGGAAAACACTCACGAAGATATAATTTGCAAGACCTTGGGTTGTGTGTACAAAAGTGTTCTTTCACCTCTGAACATATCTTAATATTTGCCAGTGGAATAGAACAGAGAAATGTCAACATATACGTACCTTTGGCTTGAAGTTGACAGACTACCTGACTTCTTGAATCAACAGAACAATGCAGTGGATATTCCAGAAAGGATTTACCTAATTCATTGTTCACTTTTCCCCAGGTAAGGACTCCATGGGAAATAACACTTGCAGGAGTGTGAAAATGGCTGCTGTCAACACTGAAAATGTCAATAATAGCTATACTCTTGTTCCCAATATATTTATTTATTATTCCTTCTGACCCCTTCCATTATACTCACCACTCTAGATAGAAATTAGATTAATGTAACTAATTTCTCTCTCTATAGCAGGACTTTCAGATAACCATCTTTCCATTGGACATGGCACCCTTGGAAGGACTGGAATGAAGAGAAGGGCTTCTCTCTTATGTACTTGGTGACTATGTGAGACACAGCTAAAGCTGAGGAAGATGGCTAGGCATGGTGGTTCACGCCTATAATCTCAGCACTTTGGGAGGCCTAGGCGGATGGATTACCTGAGGTCAGGAGTTCAAGACCAGCCTGGCCAATATGGTGAAATCCTATCTCTACTAAAAATACAAAAATTAGCCAGGCATCGTGGTGCGTACCTGTAAACCCAGCTACTCAAGAGGCTGAGGCAGGAGAATCACTGGAACCCAGGAGGTGGAAGCTGCAGTGAGCCGAGATCATGCCACTGCACTCCAGCCTAAGTGACAGAGCAAGGCTCTGTCTCAAAAACAAATAAATAAATAAACAAATAAATAAACCTAAGGAAGATGATGACCTTGAATTCTCCCCAGCCTGCCCATCAGAATCCACTTTCCCTGTCTTAAAGGGCAGACAAAAAAAAATGACTATTTCTGGAGAACAGGATTGGGGCCGGAGATAGTCTTTTACTTTTTTACTGTATGCCATTTTGTAATATTTGAGGTTTTTATTTTTTAAGATAGAGCTTTATTTAGTTCCTTATTTATTTCTAACAAAAAAAATAGTATGTATTTGTGGTATACAACATGATGCTTTGATATACACATACACTGTGGAATAAAATAAATCAAGCTAATTAATGTATCCATTATTTTACATACTTATCATTTTTTGGTGGTGAGAATACTTAAAATCTACTGTTCTCCCAATTTTCAAGTACACAGTCAATTGCTGTCAACTATAGTCACCATGCTGAACAATAGATCACTTAATGTTATTCCTCCTGACTACCTGAAATTTTGTATCACTTGACCAGCAAGGTATAGCATTTTATTACAGATGATAGCTTTGTGGACGCCTGGATATTCTGATCACAAGCAACCAGACTCATTATTTTATTATCTTTCTAACATTTGAATTTGGAAACAGTGGTGGATGCTGTGACATGCTACCCAGATCCCTTTCCCCCCACATTCAGGACTGAATGATTCATTTGCCCAGCTGCTGGGCATGTTGATAAGTGACAGCTCTTAACTATATTCCCCCCAACCCCAAGCCTTGCCCTGTACCGAGGGCCATGTCCCGTTCCAGCACAGCCCCATTCAATGGCTGGTTAATGCAGGAGTAGAAAGGCCAAATCTCTTTCCTCAATTCAGGATCATTCTGAAGGGCCATCCCTGTTCCAGAGCTCCTTGTGGGTGGGCAGGCTTTGGTGCGACTGTTTCAACCTCTCCCTCTGCCTACCCTGGCTTCCCTCATTCCTTCATAAGGATTTACGCTGAAAGCTCCTCCCAATAAATTCCATGCACACAAGTCTCCATCTCAGAATCTGCTTCCTGGGACCAACCAATGACACCTCAACCCCAGTGTATCAATACCTGTGAAAAGAATCTAAAGTTCAATGCTCTCAGACTAATAGATAATGAGTTCTACATTTGAAATGTTAGCAATTAATTATGACCTAAAAATCAATAATCCTTCAAATGCTAAGATTCTATGATGATTTTATAAATATCTGCTGATTGATGGGATTGAGTTCCAGAAAAATCCTGGGAAAATAGATTCAGTCTATAATTCCATTACTCTCTAATCTATTCTTAGAAATTAGCCCAATATTTATTCTTCACACCTTTTCTAGACCATATGTTGCATATAAATAGAAAAAATGATAGCTGAACCAATTCCCCAGGTACCATCAGCCACTTTAGAATGTCTGAGATGTGTGTTGTTGGTTGATAACCATCCATTTCACTCTTGAACAAGTTTGTTTAATTGGGTTTTGTTCATGTTGATGTCCATCCACTTTCCTAAGAAATCTATCAGATTCCAACTGTTCTTTCTTAATTAATTTTTTTAGAGACAGGATCTTGCTATGTTGCCCAGGTTGGAGTGCAGTGGTTATTCACAGGCATTGTTATAGCTAGCTCACTGCAGCCCCCAACTCCCACGCTCAAGAGATCCTCTCGCCTCAGCCTCCCGAATAGCTAGGACTACAGGTGCACACCACTATGCCCAGCCCAACTGTCCTTTTAAGTAAAGATTGAGATTAAACACAATCTGCAGCAGTTAGCTTTCCATGATATCTAAGAGAGAAGAATGATTTTCTTCTTTTCTCTGTTTTCTTTTACCTATCTCCCTTCATGTACTACTACTTCTTCCATTTGAAATTATCTTGTTTGACATCTACAAATAGGTTTGACAATCATTTTCAATTAACTAAACTTATTCTCACTTTTTTATGGTGACATTTTCTTTTGAATGGCACATCTCCACTCAAAGAATAACTTCTTTCTGTAATAGTTGCTGTCCTTCTTAAGGCATTGCCTCTTAAATTCTTTAAGATTCTTTAAGAATTTAAGATTCTTACATTATTTTTTCTTCAGAGACACTAGGTTATCTTGCTTTCTTTGAATGAAATTATTGAAGACACTTACTGGAGCAAAAAAAAAAAACAAAACAAAAATAAAAAGCAAAGGAAGGATCCATGAAATTTTAAGGAAATGTGGATTAATTGCAAAATATGGATAATACAAAACACAGTACAATTAGATGACAAAAAAAACCTAAAAACTCAGTAACAGCATAAAATCAAAACTTCTCTAAGTTCCAGTTTTTTCATCTCTAAAATGAGATAATATTCCCTAGGGGATTTTCAAGGATGAAATGAAGTCATATATATATAGCCACATAAGCTTGGCTGATCCTATTTATATTTGTTTATGGTGATATGGAACACTGTAGATATATGTCAATTGCCTCACTCTTACCAAATTCTATACTTGGTGGAGAAAGCTTTTATAATCAAAAGAGAATGAAATGCCATGGGAATTGGGATTCCCTAAGGATTGAAGGGCTTCCAAAGGGAGTCAGACCACCAGTGTGGACAAAGTGCTGACATTTACTGCCATCTGTTGGGTGATGAGCAAACTGTCCCACTCTTTAAAACACAGAAATACGCCTCTGAAAGATTTCTTCCTCAATTCAAAAGGCATCCTTAGCTCATCACTGTTTGCATCTGCTATGAAATAAATATCAGCCCCACTCCTAGAGGGACAAGACCAGTCGCTGTTTCAGTAAAGAGCGTAAGTTAAGTCGCAACCCTAAACAGCCACACCTGAAGGCTGCAAAAGAAAACATAAATTCCAGGGCCTGCTATAAGCTCAGCTACATTTGCCACTACAAAGCACATACCCAAGGCTCAATTCAATATCCCAAAGGTTGGGACCCATGTGGTCATGCCCTGGGCTCTTTCAAAGCACTGCCTCTAGACCAGACAACGCTATTGGCTTCCTGACTACCAAACCAATAATTACAAAAGACCTCTCCATTATGTACAACCCAGACCAAAGTTAAAGAAAATAACAAGAAGTGCTTTGGGGGGTGGGGGGAAAGGTAGCTTGAAAGATCTTTTTTTTTACATAGAAATGAGATTTTGAATAATTCTTCAAATCCAAAACCACTAGGCAATGGTGTATACCAAGAGAATGGTACGCACGCTTTCAATCTCTCAATAACTTCCTTGGAAAGGTAAGGGGTCAGGCAGGTAACATGAGAAAAGTAGTCTCAGAACAGACTGTGCCCAACCTGAAAGGCATATGCCCTATCTCAGGAGATGGCCATTCCTCAGCCCCAGTTAACCCCTGCCCTGCTGGACTAAGAGGTATGGCCTAGTAACTACAGGCATGGATCCCAGAGCCAGGATGCTTGGTTTGAAAGCCTAGCTTTGCCACTCACTGGCTGTAAAATCTTGGGCAATTCACCTACTCTTTCTGTGCCTCAGTTTCTATACCTGTAAAATGAGGCTAAGAGTCACTCCTGCTGCATCATATTGTTGTGGGGATTAAATAAATTGATACACATTAAACTGTTTAAAGCCAACTGGGATATAATCACTCAATAAATGGTACCAAGATAAAAGGGAAGGTTCTTTGTCATCAGATCTCCCAATTTTTAAGAGAAGCCAGAATCAGGATTTTTTTTAAGGTAAAAGTAAGTATAGGTGAACAATTAAAACATGTTCAAAATCCTCTGTGAGCCTATAAGAATATACCCATGGGCCACATACAGTCCACAGGCACCCAGTACCTCATGTCCAGTGCTGGGAAAAAGGCAAAGCGGGAGGCAGACAGGTCTCAGATTCACTTCCAACTTCGTCACCAGCTCTGTGATCCTGACAGCACAGTGGCTGGGAACTTGGGATGGCAGAACCACATGACAGAAAGTCCTGTGCCAGATTACAAACAGCAAGTGACAGATGGCCCTCCTGACCAAACGTAAGAGAAGAAAGTACTCTCAGTGATTTAAGTGAAGCCTCTAAAATAGAGGGGGGCATGGGGACAGCATCTCCCTCCTTGACCCCAAACATCATTCAAGGTCTTTAACATTGCCATCATCTATCCTAGAGACCAGGATTGACACAGATCAAGTCTAGCCATCAAATCGAGTTCATTCCCTTCATTCCATTTTCAAAGGACAATTCTTGCTCAGTGAGTCCATATTCTAAAGCAACTGTCGAGATTGCCAAAAACACCAAACAGCAGTTCAGCCAACAGTGGTCATATCTGTTTATCTAAGTGAGACATTAAATACATGAATGAAAAATAAATAAATATCAACACCATTGAGAAACAATACTTTTTAAAAGAAAAACCAGAGCACTAAGAAAATGGGTCTTCTTTTTAAAATTTTAAAGATCTTCCTTTCATTCTCCTTTAATACTGCGGGCCCATTGTCTTTTCTGACATCATTTAAAGCCAACCAGACAGATTTATAATGAGATGCTAGTCCTTTTCTATTCTACCGACAAATATGTGGCCCATCTGCCTCCAGTCAATGATGGAGCACTTGAAGATGGAGCAAAGAGATATTTTTAAACATTCCTTTAATTAATTCGTTCCAAGGAGTTGGCACTTGGAGAGTTGCGGGGTGAGGGGCGGGCAGAGGGAGGAGAGAGCAAGCTCATGATCGTGGTAAATAAAGAGATTTGCCATAATCTGGATTCTAAAACCCTTTCTATGAAGCATCCTGCCTGGCCCCCAACAAGCTGTTAAGGGCATGAAATCAAAAGCTGCAAGCAAGGCAGTGTCTGGTGTTTGTTAGATGTTTCTTCAGACTGCGAAGACAAGTTCTTTAAATGCAAGCAAAACTAAAATTTTATCTTCAGAATAATGCTTCTGCCTACTATTCCTAGAAGATTTAATACTATCAGTGTTTTAGTAGATTAAAATAATTGTAGCAGGCGACTGAAATGAAGAATAGTTTCAGCTCATGCCAAGAGGCAAGCCAGTCCAATGGGAGAAAAATTCAATATGAGAAACAATTCAGTTTGCCTTTAAAAGGGGGGAAACCAGACATCAGGGCATTGTGTGACACAGCCATGGAGGAGGGCAGGGAGGGGAGGATTTACATTGAAATCACTCTGTGTTGAGCTTCAAATCATGAAAAAGCTTTGCAATTCTGGAACTGTAGGATTTATGGCACACTGACCCAGAAATCTCACACTTAGCTGTTAAATATATTGCTCGTTTTTTGCAGCTGAAGCATCATCACTTAAGGACTTTTCCTTGTCTGACACATCCTTTAAAGCCAAAGCCAAAGGAGACACAAAACACCTAATTGTGTTGCATGGAAGAGGAAAAGAAGTGGCCATTGATACTGATGAACAGATTTGTCTTTTGGTTTTTAATAACATGGAGTTTCTGCCTCACAAGTTTCATCTGGATTTAGAAATTATTTCCTGAGAATTAAGCTTTCAATTACTCACAAGCGACTGTCTTAGTAAACATGAAATGGTTTTCTCATAGCTCTACTAATATCTATTTTCCCCAAGGAGGCTGATTTCTATATTATTGAAAATGAGAAATGAAAATTCCAGCCAAGCCTGAGGCATGCAACCTGCAAACCCCTCTAGACCATAAGCCCCACATCCTTCACTCACTTTCCAATAAGTCCACGCTGTAGGGTCTTCCTCCTGCTGACCTCAAATTCATTCCCAAGGGGAGAAGCAAGAGGACAATGGTTATGGTTTGCTTTTATTTGCTTGAAATAATAAATTCAAGGGGTCTCCCTTGCCAGGGTTTTTCCACTGTCAGCAGTTTTCTGTTTCCCTTGCTCTTTAAGTCAAACTGAAGCCCAAGCCCTCATGGCTGGCTTTCCCCTGACCCTTGGCTCCTGGGAGCTGATCAGAAGACAGATTGCCGTGGGTCTCTGACATACAGAGTGACCTAGCCACCCCCCACCTCCAAGAAGATATTTCTAAAATGCCTGCCTCTTCAGCATCTGGACACTCCACTGTGACCCAGTCAGTAATGGACACTAGCCTGGCTGCCACCAACTACTTATAATCTCTTTCCAATTTGGGTCAGGGACCTAAAAGCCATCTCCGTAATTCTAGCCATGACAGGGGACTCAGAAAAAAGAATGCTCAACTATTAAATTAGACCTTGCTTTGCAGGAAAATACCTCTCAGAGCCTGGGAACTACCAAAGAGTCCACTATTGATTTTTATAGAAACTGGATGCTAATAATCTCAATTCCAAATAATCAAAGCCCTCAAAAAACCAGACTGTGGTGGCATATGCTCTGTACAGGCAAAGATCAATGCACAGGTTACAAAGAGAATATCCTAAAAGGCAATTTGCAGGATAGGTATGCCAAAAGTTTGAGAGAAAGCCAGTAATCTGCACCAGCCATGCCCAGCACACATCATTTTCAGATGATAACCCCAAAGCTTTGCCAAGTCTTGGAATCTTTCTGAAAAGATGGTATTCCCTATATATAATTTTATCCTTAAAGTCTATTTTTGTTGGACTGCCTACTTCACAGAGTTACTGGAAGAATCAAATGTGATGAGGTACACGAATGAGCTTTGAAAGTGAAGTGTTAAACAAACATAAGATGTCATTATTGCTTCTAATAATTCTTTAGAAATTGGTAATTAACATGTTCTGCGGCTGATAATTACATCACCAAATAAATGTGAACCAGAATGGTCAGTTTCCCATATTATCCTATTCCCCAAACATTCTGGATCAAACAAAGTTGAACTGAAAATATATAAATTGAAAGCATATAACTATATTGCTATTTTTGCTTCCTTCTCAGTAATGTATGTTTCAAGGAAACAATTTCAATATTGTTAGAGGGCAAAAGCTAACAAAGGAGACAGCCTGAGGAGTCTTAGTAAATTTTTCTTTACAAGGCACATTAACCAAAGATGTTAGAAGTTGCAAGAGATCTCATGAGTCCACGTGAACAATTTACTAATAAAAATCCTTGACTGGATGGAGCTAGACTTCTAAAAGGCAAATCCCAGACTATTTCTGTATCCCCCCAACTCGGAGTTCCTCACATGTGAGTTCCACTCAACAAGTGCTCAGTAAATGCTCCTGCAAGAAAAGAAGAGAAGAAGAAAGGAAAGACCAGGGCTTCTGAGAATGTCACCTGCTCATCAGTTACTGCTGTTAAATAATAATGGGTCATAGATCCTATATTTGTTTCCCAGCCGTTCAACTTTTTTCAATTCTTTCTTCTCTTAAATATAAGTTCCTCTGATGAATCTTTTCTTAACCATAAACAGTGCAGAAAGATGGGATTAATTGGATGGGAATCTTTCTAAAATGCCGAAAATCACTTTGGCTCTACATTGAATGTCACATCATTTGACAGCTTTCATTTAGGACAAAGGTGAAATAAACTTACTTAGTTTGGGGTTGTTGTTGTAACCTCTCCTTCTCTATCTGGCCATCAAAATAGGGAGTGAGCTGGATGCAGGATTTGGAAGACTAATATCATCCATCTTTTTCACAGATGTTTTCCACCCTAGCCTTTACAAGCAAGGATAAGTCTAGAAGGTCCATGAAGGCAACCAGAAATTCTTTCATATCTTTTCTAATATAAAAGCCTTTTTAACTAAACATGGTAAGACACTGATCTTGATCCATATGGGCTCCTAGTATCTATTTCTAGAGATCTGTTTTAGCACAAGGTACCACCCTCCTTGTACACAGGTGTCTTCCTGAAACATCTTTTTGGAGAAATAATAATCAAAAAAGTCTAAACTGCAAAATAGGGCAAAGGGAGAGACAAAATTTCATGCAATGACAAGATGCCAGATGCCTTTGGAAGGACTCTGGGGGACAGAAAATGAATGAATTCCTTCTCCTGGACAGAGAGACAGTTCTAGAAATATTTTCCTTCTATTGGAGATTGCAGTCTAGAGATCTGGCTTTGGATACCAGCTCTTCAGCCTGTTTAGAGATCCATTCCCCTAAAACAAGCCTGCGGAGTTGGTAAAATTTCTTAGGAGAAACTGGAAAATGCCAACACCACCACTTGAGCCCAGAGAAGCCCCTGATATTTGCTTTTCACATAACATGGATTTTGTGATCGCTTGCAAGTGAGTAACTGCAATTTTGGGAATTAACCAAAGGGCTGAGCTGCCCAGTCTTTTCATTGCCACTCAGGTTCTACGAAGCCCAAAAAGTTTTCTGGGAGATACTGGTCCAAGGACTCTGTGGACCTTTCCTTTGATGTGTGAGTATTCAAAGAATCCTTTTGCCCCCTGCAGCCCCTTCTGTCTCTTGCTAAAGACAATTGTCTTTAGTTATCACTGCGAGGGAGCTTTCCCCATGCCAGCTGGAATCTTGGGAGGCAGGACACGACTCCAGATCCTCGGGCTGAATAGGGAAGCCAATGCTATCCCTGCCCGCTGGAGTCTGGCGACTCCTGCCCTTGTCCCAAACCACACGTTTTCCCGCCTCCCGGGAAGCACCCAAATCTCTTCCACCCTTCCTTAGAGCTAGCCAGGGAGATTCCGCCTTCCAGGGACAAGGACCGATCGGAGCGGGCCCAGCATCTCCATGGCGACTCTGCAAACCTGGCGTTCAAGGCCGCGCGCGCTGGTCCTTGCCCCGCCCCAGGGCCCTGTCTTGGCTCATTCCTTCCGAGCCGGCACCACCTGCAAGCCCGCCTCGGGCCTGGGGCGCCGCGCTCCAGGCGCTGCTACCCCGGTGTCTGCTCACACTATGCCCAATCCCCTATTGTTTTGAAATCCCAAAAGTAACCTCAAGAGGATTTCTTCCTCACACTCTCAGGCCCCCAGCGCACCTTACCCTTTTTATCAAAATAAAACAACCCTCCACCTCTCGCATTTTCAAAGGATTAAGCAGCAATCTCCAGGAAAGAAAATCAATCCCCTCCCCACCATCCCATCCCCAGCCAAGCTACGGCTCCGCCACCACCTCCGAGGCCCGCCGCCGCCGCCTCTCTATCCGCATCCCGGATAGGGGCGCCACCACCCCGCGCGTGACCCCGCTTTCCCGCGGGTACAGATAAAAATCCCCTCACCCTTCCGTAGATGCCATGGTCTGGGGAACGCCCCCTCCTCTTCAGCACTATCCGGCAGCTGTGGGCGAGGGAGAAAGCGGACGCCGGGGTGAGCGCGAAGTGCGGCCGGGAGCGGTATTTAAGAGGAGCCTCTGCCCGCCCTTCCACCCGCCTCCGGGGTAAGCCCTTTAGCGCCTCAACGGGCGCAGGAGGCTCCTGCGGGCGCTAATCCGCGTCCCGGCTCTCCACGGCGCGCGACCCGCGCTCCCCTCCGCCCGCGGGGATGGCGCTTGGCGGGGAGCTCCGGGGGCTCCGAGGGTGGCTTCCCCGAGAGAGCGATGCGCCCAGGGCTGCAGGAGGGCGCACGCCGGCGATGCGCCCCTGCAGCCGCTGCCACCTGTGCTTTGCTGCGGGGCTCGCGGGCGCGGCGAGTGGCGGGAGCAGAGAGTGGTGGCAGAGGACGGTGAGCGTGCGTGCGCGTGTGCGGGTGTGTGCGCGCCTGGGGAGGCGGTGGAGGCCGCTGCGCTCTGGCTCGGCGCCGGCCAGGGAGGGATTGCAAGGTTTAGCCCCGCCGGAGCTGGGGATTTGCAGGCGATCCCTCTCTATTTTCGTCGAGAGCTGACATCACCCGCGCCGCCGCCTCGGGCAACTCCTTTAACCGCCGCCCCCCGCCCCCATCTCCAGTCGCGGTCCCTCCTCTGCCATCCCTCCCCCCAGCCTCTCGCCATAAATTAGCCAAATAAGAAAAGAGGCCCCGCCGCTCGTCCGGGAAGGCTTGGGCAGCCGGTGGCAGGAGCCCAGGATCTAAGGAGTAGCTATTGTTTCCCCTGAAGCCCGCGTGGCCCCAGGTCACCCCGTGCGGGGTGAAGCGCAGGCGACCGCGCGGAGACCCGGGATGCCCCTCCGTCTCCGCCTCCCTGGAGCAGCCCCTGGCGCTCCCTCCTCACTCCCCGGAGCACCCGCTTCAGCTCACACTCACCCCCAAACTCACAGGCAGGCACACCCACCCCATCCTCCCACGTCTGGGGGTCCCAGGTCCAGCGGAGTCGAGCGGCTGAAACACGCGGGTGGTGCAGCCTAAACGCGGCCCAGCTGCGCTCCCTCCCCCGCCGAAGCTCGAATAAATCTCTGGCCTTCAATTATTCAGCGAGATTAATATTAATGCAGCTCCCTGGGGGCGGCGGGCGGGGTGCAGGGGAGGCCGGGATTTTTTTTTTTTTTTTTTAGGCCGAGAGAGGTCGGCCTCGTGGGTGCCGGCTGAGAAGGCGCGGAGAGTTGGCCGAGGGGTGAGTGGCGGGGGACGGTTCTCCACCCACTCGGCGCTGCTCGCCGCCTGCTTCCGTGTCCCGGGGGCGGCGCACAGAGACAGATGGGCTTGTGCAAGGGAGAGTTCGAGCCTTCCGGACGCCTTTGCATAAAAATGACGAGACCTGTGCAGCTTTGATTATCTCTGGAATACTGCAGGAACCTAGGGTCCCACTACTTGCCGACCCTGTGAGCGCAGAGCAGGCAAAGCCTCACTTTCCTCGTCTAGGCAATGGAACCCAAAAGAACTCACTTGGAGGGCCACAGGAGAATTAAACAGACTCTCTTTTTCCCCGGGGTAGACGATCTTCGGATTTGCGCTGTGCTGGACCTTGTTAGACGATGGAACGCGACCGGCCACGTGCAAACTCTCTGAGTAGGTCCCGGGGATGGTGCCAGAGGAGCCGGAGTCCCAGCAGGACCGATTGGTAGTTAAATGCCAGGCGCTGATATCCGAAGGCTTGAGTTCTTCACCACCTTCTAGCTGAGTAACCTGGGGCAAATTCCTCCATCTCTCTCTTCATCCCACCTGTAAAATGGGACTATCTTCTCCCACTTCTCTGTGCTAAGAGAACTAAATGAAATGGAGAGGATATGTAAAACTCCTAAAGTGGCGTCTGGCACCCAGTAAACCCTCCAAAAATATTCAGTGCATTTTCAGAGTCCTTAGAAGATAGTTTATTGGACAAAATATCCAAGTATGAACAGACAGATGAGAAAAATAACAAGAAAAAGAGGGGAAAACACATTAATAAAATTTAAAAAATAAATCTCTGCTTACCTCCTTCCTTTACTCTCCTTTCCAAAATCTGAATCCAAACGTCATCTTCCATCCATGCCTTTCTCCATCTCTCCCCTCCCCCCTTCTCTCTCAATCCTGTCTGCACCATTAGAATAATCATGTCTGTACCTTATTCATCCTAGGTTCCTTCAGAACCACTCTAACTTTGCATTTTCTTTATTTAAAAAAAAATGCCATAAGCATCTCTTCGTCTTAGGGCATTTGACTTTGGGTACTCTTCTCTTCCGAAAAATTAGTTATTGTTTAACCTGGTAAATGTGTTTAAAAATAATTTGTAGATGAAGAGCTATCTTCTTTCACTTTGGTATTATGTTTGACACTCTCCTCTTAAGCCCCGTCAAGGGTAAGTGTGTGTCTTTGTATCTGAAGTTGTCACATATACAAACTTTACAGTCTAATTGTCTAACTTTACAAGTTAGGGTTTTCTATTTCCCTTTCTGCTGAGGTGGCAACTGGAAAAGAAGCCATCACAATCTGTCCCAGACCTAGATATTAATAATCGCAGGAGCACTAGTCTGCTATTAGCACCCCCCTTAACATGAGCATGAATGAACTACTCCATCACAATCCCTCAATCTCTGCACACAGGCTTCAGGGGCTGAGCTGTGCCATTCATTCACGCTCACTGCCAAGAGCAAGGTACCTGGTGGTACATAAATACAAGGTAAAAGGAAACAGAAAAAGGGATGGAGTTGTTTTCACTCTTTTAAACATTCAATTTAAAAACTCTTCATTATGTTTTCAATGCTCAGGACATGAGAGAATCCAGGTGAATCATCCAGCATGGCCGAATTAGATGGAGTCATCATTCCAGTTTCCCACTTTCTCTGTAAGCCCTGACATCCCGTTCTACACGTGAGAAACATTTGCATTCAGCTGCCCTGGAAGACCAGGTCTATTAAGTCACATGGACTATGCCACAGATAATTCTGGCTAACAAACATTAGCTAGAAGAAACTGGTTCTCTTTCTTTGTGCCAGAGGGCTTTTGCCAATATTCACACCAATTATTTTTTAACAAACTGGAGCAGTTATTTTCAACACTGGGTGCCCATTAAAATGGTCTGAGAGAGCCTTTTAGAAAATAGTAATACTCAGGCCACCTTTCAGAGATTTCTGGTCCATGCATCTTTGGGGTTAGGCGGGGGCTGACTTGGGCATTTTTAAAGGACTTCCCCAGGTGATTGAGTCCACTGCGCAGCCAGAGTTGGGAAGTGCTGGACTAGAAGTGGTTCAACAACATAGAGAAGGGTCTGGAAACAGGGCCCCAAGAAGTAGTTGGAGCATGGTACATTTAGCCTTCAGAAAGAAATTGCTAGAATACAGGGCTGATCCTCTTGCCTTTAAATACAGGGAATAAAAAACTTTCCAGGCAAACAAACACTTGTATGTTATTCTAGGTAACCAATGTGAGCAGCTACAAAAACATAGAGTTTTCTTCTTATGTTGTGCACTCACAGAGCATTAGGGGTTAGCTACTGTACAACCACGTGACCATGCCGAATAAAAACTCAGCTCTGGGTCAGACAATCCTGCCTTAAATACTATCCCCGCCAAGTATTAGACTCTGTGTTACCTTATTCTGGGCACAGGATCTTAGCTTCCTCATCCCCAAACTGGAGAAGATAATAATGATCATCATCAGGGTTGTTGTGATGATTAAATAGAATATGTGGGAAATGCTTACATCTTTTTCATGCTCAATAGAGAACCATCCTAGACACATGGGAACAGCAGCATTCACCCAGTGTAATTTACAGCTGAGCTGTCTTGAGAACCTAGCCTCCCTACCTACCGTGTGACCCCAGGGTCTCCTTTTAATCTGCACGGCAAACTACAAGTCTCTTAGCCGGCAATAAGTTGACAGAACCTTGGAAGAAGAACAGAACAAGGCCGACCCCACAAGCTGCATGAACACTTTGGAATTTGCTGGCATCTCTCAGTCTCCTCTAGGGACCCCATAGTCATGGCAAAAGCAGAAGACTGACATTTACATATAGATTTACCTTTCTTAAGTCTAGCTGATGGGTTCTCAAACTTCAATGTCAATAAGAACTACTCTGCAGGACTGGATACAAGAAAATCAACTGTACCATATTCTGATAGGTGATGTAAGGGATTTTTTAAAATGAATTTTGATTATAAGGGTTTTTTTCTTTTTTGCCTTATTGATTCTTGACTGAAAACTTAACCCAAGTTCCCAGAAGTGAGTTACTATAGTTGAGTTAAGGTAGTGTGTGAGCTAGAACTTTGTGGTAGTTATATGAGCTTAGCATTTCCTTAGTAATTCCTATATGCATAATGTACTGCACCTTATATATTGTACTTTGATTCTTAAGATGACCTTCTGCAGAAAATATTATTAAACCACCATTTTACAGAGGAGAAAACTGAGACCAAGAGGAATTAAGGAATTTGCCCAAGGTTATACAGTCAGTGGTTGTATTTGTCGGAGTCCCAGCTTAAAAAAAAAAAAAGATGGCATATTTAAATTAAGTAAATTGTGATAAGTTTAATAAAGGAGTCATTTAGAAGGGTGTGGGAGGGGGTAGGAAAACTCTAAGGGATAGGGCAGACTCCCTGGGCTACTAACAGTAGGGAACAATTGCCCATCCTAAGCCAAAAGGAGAGTACCAGGACCCAGAGGAGAGTTCTGCATGCAGAAGGCCACTTGACAGAAGCTGAGACTGTGGCCATAGCAGTCTGCTGGAAGGGGGTCTGGGAATAAATACCCCAATGCACACTTTCCTCCAGTCCTTCTTTTCCTTCCAGGGCTCTATACTGGCCAAAGCCAGATGGAAGCTGGAGGGCAGGAGAGTCCACTGAAACAATTCACATGCAGTCCTTGCAGTCCAACCTCCCTGAGAAACAGAGGATGGAGAAGGGTGAAGAATGGCTGTACAGGGCTAATGGATGAAGCCAGGGTTTGAGTTTAAGCAGTCTTCCTGCAGAATCTCGCTTTTTAACCTCTCTGCTATGCAACTTGGAGTGAGGATGTTATACTTGTTGGAACAGGTAGCCCCCATAACATGTGGGACCTCTCTACTGTGGGGTTTTCCAGCAGATAAATAGACTTGGTCAGACTATTTACTAGAAATCAGAAGAAGGTATATTTATACTATGGGAGAAGTCACAATATGGCCTCAAATTTTTCAGTCCTAAATGCTACAATTCTCAACATTCTTTGGCAATTATTGTAGGAGCTTAGTTGGACCAAAGAAGAGAAAAAGATTCCCTTATATTGGGCTCTTGTAAGGGATTCATCCCCTGTCTTGGCTCTCCTGCAGAATGCTTCAGATTGGTCATTGCAGCTCCACATAAGGGAGGTTGGGTGGGAGGGAACTCCTAATATAGAAAAGAAAAAAAAAAGTCCTACATTGCTTTCCCATGAAAGGCTGCTGAATAAACCATTCCCCCTCATGATGACAATAAAGGAGAAATGTTTCAATGTTCAAAGTTTATCAGAAGAAAGTAACCTAGAGAGAGAAATAACAGCCAAGTGACCCAAGGGTTAGCCACTCAAAAGTCGCTGTCATTTAGTAACGTCCCAGAAATATGAATTTGACTTTTCCCCCCAAGTGCAGTTACTGTTTCATCTGCTTTGCTTTTTAAGATTATTGATGCTTTCCAAAACTTAGTAATGAGAAAACTATCCACCATCAGCTCGTTAGGTGGGGCATTCATATTTGTGGTTCTTTGCAAAGTCAGAACCACTCTGGGAACAGATTTGTCCTTACAGACTTTCCACACAGCTGTTCTTGGTAAAGTAAATCTAGGCTTTGGAGTTGAGCAGGCCTGTATTCAAATCCCAGTTTCTCCGCAAGTGACATTGAGTGGGTCACCTGATCTCTTTGAGCCTAAACTCCCTCCTCTGCAAAATGGAAATAATTCTTGTAGCTTCAAAAATTATATATATAAAGCAGATATCACAGGTCCTGGCATGTAGCGTGAATACACTGTGTGAATACAATGTCCTCTGCCTCCCTAAATAACCAAGGAATTATAAGCTGTGTGTCTGGATCTGTCTTTAACACTTTGACCCAATCATTAACTATAAGACTAGATACCTTAATGTTTTTTTTAATTAAGTAAAACAGAGGACACAGTAAGGGCTCCTTCATATGACAACTAATACGAGTTTGCTAGTTTTCAAAAATATGAGCTATTTTAGGATGAATGAAAAACATGAATGAAAATTATTATATAGTGTTCCAATTTCAGAGGAAAGATACTATTCTCTGACAGTGTTGGTTCTGAAGCCAAGAGCATGAAAGAGAGAAACGGGAGAATCCTGAAACTAAATTGGAAATGAAAAGATTTCAGAAAGATAAGTGGGCTTAGAGCAATAAGTAGCAGGAGGAGAATGTTCACAGTGGCACCACCAGGACTTTGAACTAAGAATGCTAATGTGGCCACAGAAGTTATAACAGTCTTCTGAATTAGACCGACCTGGGAACCATCCATCTTGACCATGTTTGGAGCAGTGAGATTCAAATTGAGTTTATCATTCTTTCTTTCCATTTTGAGTGACCTTGAGTAAGTTACTTAACCCTCTGAGCATCAGTGGGTATAGTAGTGAACCCATCCACTGGGCTCATATGAGAACTGAATGAGGCTATGTCACATAAAGCACTTAGCACAGTTCCTGGCACACTGAGCTGTTATCATCTTCATGATGTCAGCTTCCTAGCTGCTGGCACTCTCATCACCCAAAAGATCAGTGGTAATGCTTTGGTTTCAACAACACAGTACAGCTACAGATGAGCCAGCCTGTAGCCCTGTCAGTCTGGTGGTGGTCACTGAATAGAGACTCAAGGGAATCATCCATCTTAAGGGTGTTTGGAGCTGTAAGATACAAGCTGAGTTCATTCACTCTTCTTGTTAACACACATTAGCAAAAGAGAAGTCAGGGAGTTCTATTTTTACCTCACTCTCTTAGCTGATGAGAAAAAAGATATTACTTCACAGAAATCTCAATTCAGACTGAGAGCTTGGTCTAAATATAATCCATTCTGCAGGCAGAAATCGTCTCATTAGGTAGAGGGCTCGGGAAGGCTGAAACAGTGGATAGCCATGCTTACTGCCTGATGAATTCTAACGGAAAGAGTGTGAATTCATCCCGTTTGTTTAGTATAGATGAAGAAAGGAGACAATGGAAAAAGATGAATTGTGAGTTCTCAGTATATCATTCCCTCCGTCAGCATTTCTTCTACAAGATGACTTGAGGCTAAATGTCAGGGGTAGTGCAAATTCTTTATGCCCACCATAAAAACCATAACATTTTGAATTAGAGCAACTGTCTCTTTTTTTAGCTGCTTGATCCTGTATGAAGTGGAAATACTCTTTGAGAGTGATTACTGCTATTTTAATTTCTACCCCTAGTTTCTCTTAACCTTGGCAATGATTGCCAGTAATGCCTCCATCTTCCCCTTCCCTTTGTTCTGCTGGGACATTACAATATTCAGTAGTGACAGCCTCATGAGGAGCAAAAGAATGGAGAGATTTTTTGTATCTTTGGGGGGATTTCTTTGCTGAACAGCAGCTCACTGTGATTAAATGCTAAGTGATTTGGATAAAGGACTGAATCAAGGACCCAAGCCAGAATCTGATGACCTCAGAAAATCCAGCAATGTTATTCTTGTTCTATTTTCTCTGTTCGCTTCTTTATGAAATTCCTTGGTCATTCTGAAAAAGGCTGTGTATCACATCCCAAAAGTATTTTTCTTATAAAGTGATTTTCCTTAATAAGAGAAAGAGAGAGATAGCAACCAGGTAATTTAGTTTTAAATTGAGATTACAGATTCAGAGTTGTTGGTTTTTTTTAATCAAAGACTAAACGACTAAATTATGCCTTTGCATAACTGCAGTGAATTGGAAGTTATCCCAGTTCACTCTGAGGTTTCATTTTATTAGCACCTGGACACAGCTTCATTTGTAACACCCTGTTCCCCTTTCAATGGAAAATAAACAACTTTTCCTGAATTGCACATATTTAAGCACTAAGAAAGATCATTCTTTCCTTCTCTCTTGTGTGGAATTACTTTTTCCTAGAAACCATAAGTTCAGGAACATAACAGTGGTTCGTTTTTCTCCAAGAATTCAGTCTTGAATGTATTCCTCACCTGAGAAAGCTATTCTCTAATTTTATCTACTGACTTTTTTTTTCTTTGTTGACAAAGCTCTCCATCAAACCTCTTCCAAGCCTCTGGATAAACACTCAGTGAATTGGAATACAAACGTGAAGTGAGCCCTAAAAAACTCAGCCATTGAGACAGTCTTCTTAAAATGCTGGGCCTCAACAGCACATCCGGGCAGAGCTCTGCCAGGGAAAGCAAGTCCTGCTGCCAAGAAAAGCAAGGAGAGACCACAAATTGCTACCAAGCTACTCCAAAATGTTCTTTCCAACAGCCCTGAAAAGATAAACTTCCCCAAGCCCTAGGGATCCAAAGTATTTCACTCAAAATTTTCATAGCATACTAAAGAAGGAGAAAAAATAAGGCAGGAGTAAAGATATGTGTCTTACTCCTTTGGCTCATCCATTAGCTGTCAGCTTTCTTCTTTTAACTCATCTGATATCATTTAAGATAATTCTCTGTTAGAACAACATGCAGTTGTGTCAATGCAATGAGACTCAAGGTCTTCATTCATGTCCAGGTTAGGACAACATAAAAACCCAAATTCAGGCCAGGCATGGTGGCTCACGCCTGTAATCCTAGCACTTTGGGAGGCCAAGGCAGGCAGATTGCCTGAGTTCGGGAGTTTGAGACCAAATAGGTAATTATTCAACCCTCACTCCCAGCCCCTTTTGGAGTCCCCGGTGTTTATTATTTCATACTATCATAAAGTCAAAAAGTCATAAGTCAAGCCATTGTAATTGTAATATACATATATATTATATATACGTATATATTATATATATAGTCAATGCCTTCCAGCCAAAGACCACTAGAAACATACCTGTAATTGAACAAGTGGGATTTTTTTGCTCCTTGCAATGAGGTAGGATGCACATCATGGTGAACCAAGGGGTGCCTCATCAAGAGTGTGTTAGAAAGGACTTACAGGATTTGAGTTTCTGTTAAGTGATCTTAGGTTTCAAAGTGGGGCTTTGTTCTGGATTGGATGCTGTCAGGAAGTGGGAGTAATTCTATAATTGGCCATGTAATAAATCTTATCTAAAAGGAAAAAAGACTATAAAGAGCCTACCGCTGTAATTGATGAAGAAGCAGCAGTCACTCATATTAACGAGGAGAAGGGGATATTTGGCACCTTTGTAGTTTGCATAGTCACCTTGCTTTTGTCTGTTATTACAGAAGATATGAAGTGGTCTTGTTTGGGTCTTGATCCATCAAAGTCACAGAATAATTCTGACAGATATTGGCATTCTGTGAAAGTATTTATCTTCAACAAGAGAGCATCGCAGTCTCATTGGGAGTGCCAGATCAACTCCTGGGCACCAAAGCCCAGCTGGTATAATGTCAGATGTCAGGGGCTACATGGATACCTAAAAAAACAAGCAATCATCACGAAAGAAATCAGAACCAAAGTACTCTGGATGAAACAGGAGCCTTCTCTGGCACTCCCTGAAGGTGTCCTCAGTTGACAGCCACTTTTCCAGCATTAGTATTCCATAATTTGTGACTGCTTTGTTCTGTGTCAACTTAGGGAAACTGAAACTAGGTTGCAGAATTCCCTTCCCTGTATGGTTCCAGGTTAGAGTGAACACAAGAGAAATTGACGTGAGATTTGGAAAGGAGAGGGAAGCAATGCCTACTTTCATGCTTTGAGATTTGTTTGAGCACGTCAGACACTGTGGCAGCTCACACGTAATGTCACTATCTGTCAGCTCATCTTGTTGGGGTGAGAAAGCACCCAGGCCCACAGCTCCTCCAATGCCTGCTGGAAATCCTCCTCTGGCTTCCCTGAGTTCGGACTGGGTGAGTGTGCAGCTATGAGCAAAGGGCACCTGATTCTACTACAAGTCACTCACATCATGGAGGCTGGAGGCAGCAAGAGACAAACACAGTTTTCCATTTGTCCTTGCTTTGCTGACTTCACATCCAGCTTTCCTTCCTGACCACTGGCCTGATTGATTTTAGGTCCAACACCAGAAACAAAGGCAACAGTCTTGCACAGACTTCTCCATCAGTGGCCACAATTTTGTGTGTTTATCGTAATCCCTTATTCCATAGGACTGTTAAAAGTTCTGATTCTCTGAAAAGCCCCTGACTTATATATGCTCAAGATTTCTAGCTTTGGAGTTCTATGCTGGGAGGCAAGGGCTATGTTACAAAAAGAGATGGACAACATTCCGATAGCAGCCAGATATGGCCAAGGGACAAGCTTGTGTGTGATCCTCTTTGCCTGCCTCAAAGTCTTAGGTGAGTGTGATCGAGTGTTCATAGCCCACAAGAGCAGTGCTAAGGTAGGAAGATCCAGGGGTGGTGGCAAATGGCCACGGAGCTATTAACCAAGCAGCCTGGGATGTCATTACCAAAATTTCAGGCCAGATTCAGCTTCTGAAGGGGCCAGAGTCATAGCTAAGATGATGTACATGTGAACCAAATCTGAGTAGGAAGGCAAGAAGAGAAAATAACACAAGTAGTAAAGAGAGCGTTAAAAAGAAGTAGAGAACATGATATTCCAGGCAGAGGGTCAGGACACAGTCAGGAGATGGAGGCTGTGGGCACGTATGTGTGGAGTGCCTACCGAGGCAGTTGTGGAGCTGTGCCTAGCTGAAGAGCCCTGACCCTGCCAGGTATACCATGTATTATGTTCGTTGCCTTACACAACATCTCACTTAATTGTCACAGCTACCACAGTAAAATCTCAAGATTTTATTATGCCAATTTACCAGATAATGAAGCTGAGGTAGAGAAGCTTAGTACTTGCCCAAAATCACTTTAGAAAAGAAGTTAAACCATCATTCTCTGTAAACTATCGCAAGAACAAAAAACCAAACACCGCATATTCTCACTCATAGGTGGGAATTGAACAATGAGATCACATGGACACAGGAAGGGGAACATCACACTCTGGGGACTGTTGTGGGGTGGGGGGAGGGGGGAGGGATAGCATTGGGAGATATACCTAATGCTAGATGACGAGTTAGTGGGTGCAGCACACCAGCATGGCACATGTATACGTATGTAACTAACCTGCACAATGTGCACATGTACCCTAAAACTTAAAGTATAATAATAAATAAATAAATAAATAAATAAATAAAAAGAAGTTAAAAGACAGGAATTTGAATTCAGATCTATCTCTTTGATCCAAGTTCCATTACACCTTTTAAGATCCAAGCTTTCTAGGCTTAACAAAGAAAAACCTTTGAGTGACCTGATAAATATTTATAGAATCAAATCCTCCAGCCTCCGTCAAGGCTCCGGTTGATGACAACCTCAGGTTAAGCTGCTCACCAATTCCTGACCCACTGACACTGTGAGAGAATAAACACTTACCATTTAAGCCACTAAGTGATGGGTAATTTGTACTCAACCATTGATAACTAATGCATCGCTCTTTGATTAAGCCAGGAGGATGGGCATGGATGGTTGAATGAAAGGAGGAGGATGTGACTTATGGAAAGCCCCAGGAAAGGCTGACAAAAAGAGAAAGTAGAAGAAATTCTCTTCTGGCTCAAGACCCAGACATGGTGGGGGAGACAGGTTGGGAAACAAATAAAATCCTCACCTCCTGTCTTGGGCTAAAGTCCTTAAGTTTTCTGAGATAGATTAAGGGAACAGGGGAGTTCCTGTTTGGGTCTACATAAGGCAAATGTCTCCCAGAATGCTCGGTAACAAGCCTGGGCTCTCAGCTGTCATGTGGTATGGAAAAGACCTAGAAGTTCCCCCAATCCCCCAAAGGAGGAAAAGGAGGTTGCAGAGAGTCTGGCTGGGCAGTTGCCAGAGAAGGTTGTCACTGTGGCCATGAGGCTGGGTGACCCAGACAAGGGTCAAACAGGAGTCACCACCAGATGCCAGGAGGACCAGTTCCAGCAAGAGATGAGGGGCCGAGTCTGCAGGAAGGAGTGCTGGGCTCCATGAAATAGAGAACATAGCACAAGTTAAACTAATTACAGACTCTAGCACTAAATGTCAGCAACAAAAAGACCCACCACACACACCCAAGAACCAGCAGGAACTCGGGGGTCCCCAATCTCATCCCAATGCTTGAGGAAAGGTAAGCCTCCAAAGCACCAGCCTAGTGAAGAGAAAACTGGCGAGGAGAGCAGGGGAGAAAGGATAAAAGAGTAAGTCACCCCAAAAAGAGGGTCACTGCCAAGATTACTTAAGGTGTCTGACTAGACTGAATTCATGTTCTTTCCTTCACTATCCGGTGGGAGGTGAGGGTGAGGCTTGAGAGAAAAATCACATAAGTTATAGACAACAGTGAAGCTACAGTTTCTTGGCATATCTAAACTTAGTGTGAGTAAATATGTGACTCCAATTCAGATGCTATAAAAGCATTCCATGAAGATTTATGGAGGTTCAAAGCAGGACTTTGTGTTGGATCTAGAAGACAAGAAGCAGAGGCAACCCCAAAAATCATCTAATCTCTGGTGTTTCTGTTTGTGCCTTATCGGAGGGTACCCATGTCCCTCCTCCCCTGGCCCATGACCCACCGAGCTCTGAGAGTTGGTATTAAAAAGATGGTATTGGGTTTGTCAAACACACCATTTGGGAATGATAGCCCTTGGCACTATTTTAAAGGGCTATCACCAAGCCATCAGCCCTGATACATGTAGCTCTGAGAAACAGTGTGCAGAAATAAGAGCATAGCACATTTGTTTTGTAGTTCAGAAGCCAACCCTTATTTTATTAAAATGTGTACAAGAGATGGGGAAGGAAAAGGACCAGACTGTACTGTGGCCATGTACACAAAGGCATGCACCACATCCCAGCTCTGCTGCCCTGGGCTGTCCCACAGGCAGCTCTCTAGAACTTGAGAGCCTCAAAAGGGGCCTCATGAAGCCCAGATCTTCCCTGGTCAAGCTGATGGCATTCGTATAACTGAAAGTTGGGGAAGACCACCAGGTCAGTGGAGTGGAGAGGTTTTGTATATGGTCTTCTTTGAAGAAACTTACTTCTTGCAAGCCCTGGCATCTTCCAATTGGCTGTCCTAGTAGTGGACGCGGCATCAGCCTACCAGCAATGGAGGTCTACTCACCCTTCACTGAGTTTTGTCCCTGAAGTCAGAAGCCCTGGCACAGCCAAGTTCACAGGCCAAATCACACTTCAGGCCCACACTGCTTCACGCAATGACACACGTACAGACGGATATACAGAAACACTTCTCAAGGAGTGCATGAGCATGGTTCATTTCATATTTCTTTCAATCCAGTCTTTAAAAGGCAGCACCTTGGTGAAGGCAGTGGAGAGCCTGTGGCTGCATGTTTTATCATAGCTCCAGCTGACCAGTCCCATCAGATGCCAGCGTGGCTCAGGAGATGCTCGTCCCGGGAAGGACACAGCCGCGATGCCTCCTGTCTCTGCAGTGCAGATATCAGAAGGGGCAGTGGGTTCCCAGCTGGCACAGAACATGTTATCAGTGACACTCACTGGGATGCCATGGTCCTCATGCTGCTCCTCACACAGCAGCGAGTCCACCACACTGACCACCCCAGAGCGCAGTGTGTCGTTCTTGAAGCCAGGGCTCCTCACGTCTGCCAGGACATTCCAGCCAGCCACAGTGATGTGGGACTCCTGGAAGGAAGTGCTGAGATCCCGACTGGCAGCGAGGCAGATGGGCTGGACTCGGGTGCTGATACGGGCCTTGTCTAGGAGCTTCAGGATGGCGATGTCAGCATCAAGCAGGATGGGGTCATAGTTGGGATGCAGAATGATAGCAGAAATCTACAAATGCAAGGAATGGGCAGCAATGGTGAGGAGCCAGCTCCACAGTGGATAAGAACAGACAAGGCTTGGAGCTAAATTTTTGGGAGAAAATGTCTAAGAGGCAGCTACAATTATTTGGAGATACTTCACTCAAGAAATCATGGAAAACAACTACTCTACTTCCAGAATTGCAAACTAAAGTGCTTTCTAGGGCCTGGAAGGTGGGATTAAATAAGTGAAGTGGACAGTTGAGGCTGCATGCCCATCTAAGGTGGGCAGTGGCCACATCACTGCAGTCAGCCACTCCATGCTGAAATGGGACCAGCATTCTAGTTTTGCCAGAAAATGAATTCCAAATCTTTATCTGAAATATCTTGATGTTAAACAAACAATGCTTGCAAATAAATAAATGATTAAAAATATGTTTCAGCACCATCAAGGCACAAACCCTCACAGGCTAAGTTTTCAACCTCTGGTCCACTGTAAACATTTCATTTACATTCAAGCCAGTAAATAGAGCTATGCTCAGAATATTCCACAAGACTTTTCCACAAAGTCTTCCCTGATTTTCCCAGTCCTTGCTGGTCATGCCTTTTGATGGGAGCCTGTAGGAGCACACATCTTGTAAAATGTTTATGTATATGTTCTATTACCTCAATCTCCTTTGAGTATATTGCCTTGGGGCTTCTCTTGTGTCACATTGATTATGATACATTGGTCTATCTCTCCCACTCAACTGTGGACTTTTCAGAGAAAATAAAACGTGCTCTATTCTTTTCTGTGTCTACTTACAGTGAAAGGCACATTGTGGGGGCTTAACAATAGATGGACAGGTAGGTGGATAGATGGAGAGATGGATGGATGGATGGATGGATGGATGGATGGATGGATGGATAGACGGATGGATGGATCGATGGCTGGATGGATGGATAGATGGAGGGATGGAGGGATGGATGGATGGATGGATGGATGAGGGGATGGATAGATGGAGGGATGGATGAAAAGATAGATGGATAGACAGATGGGTGGGGGAATAAAAGACAGGGAGGGAGTCAGGGAAAGACAGACATATATTGTAAATTTGTTAAGAGTATATCTAGGGTAAAACATCTCTGTCTACCTAGGACAGTGCCCAAATGTAATAGGTGATTAACCTTTTTTTATTCAAAAAGTATTTATTGATAATCTACTTTGAGCCAGGCACTGTGCCACACTGTGAGGGTACAATGACAAATCACAACATTCATGGAGCTAACGGTTTCAGGCAGAGCCAGCCATTAAACAAATAATTTCACTAATTTTTAATTTGTTAATTTATGACATATCCTACCAGGTAACATGTGCTACTAGGAGAAGTACATTTTACTCTTAGGTGATTAACTTTTGATGACCACAGTGATAGATGCCTTTGCCTCTATCTTATTTAAAAAATAATCAAGGTGGAAAAAAGACTCCACAGCCTTTCTAGGTACCCCCATCTAGTATCTCAATATGAAATAATGAACGCTGCTATATGCGAGGCTCTGGGCTGGCTGCTGACATGCTAAGGGGACAGAGCTTGGTATAATCACTGCTCTCCCGTGCTTGGAGTTTTTTTGAGCCAGAGCCCCAGCTTCCAAGTGCAAGCCCTCTCTTACCTGTAGGCTCTGGATGGTCTTCTCATCCCGGTCATCATCCCGGTAGAATTTCCCCAAAACAACTTTCAGGTCTGCTGTCTTGATCATGGTGACCTTCCCCAGGTCAGTAACACAGTGGGCAGCCACCACCACAGTGCGCTCATTCACCAGGGCACCGCTGCAGACTAGGAACCACGCTCCCTTGTGTAGGCTGCCGTCATGCACCCCGCTGGTCCTCCTGTAGATGGCTGCCTGCCACGGCCAGCGCAACCCTTGGGTCTTTGGAGCAGTGATGTTCTCAATTTTCCCGCAGACTATGGAGAAAGTACCAGCTTAGTAAGATAAACTCAGACTTTGCCATCCAAAGGAGAATGTGTCACTTAACCAGAGAGCACAAATCTGGAAAGGTGAACTGTATGGGCATGATGACCACTAAGATAAGTAACCCAGTTTTCTTCTGCATTTAAATATTAATCAACCCACCCTGACATGGCTGGCTATAAAGTCTAGGATTTGCAGTCAAATGAAACCTGAGTTCTGATCCCAGGCACTTACTATCAATAGAACTTTGGGCAAGTTGTCTAATCTTTTAGAGCCTCTGTCTTCTTGCCTGTAAAATGGATAGAACAATAATAATGGTCTCACAGAGCTCTTGAGGAGATTAAATGAGATGGTACATGCAAACAAACTCAAAATATCATGACTATCCTCATAGTCATGACCACAATGAACTAAATCATATTGTTCTCCTTTCGCAAAGAGGATGGGGAAGGCAGCTTAGTAAATGCAGGCCCCTAATCCGGACACTTTGACATATTATCTCAGTACTCATCATCATAACCTTATGATGTAATTAATACCTCATTACATTTTTTATTTTTATTTTTTTATATTTTCAGTAGAGATGGGGTTTCACCATGTTGGCCAGGCTGGTCTCGAGCTCCTGACCTCAAATGACCCACCCACCTTGGGCTCCCAAAATGCTGAGATTACAGGCATGAGCCACCGGTGCCCAATCTAATACCTCATTGCTTAATAACAAGTACCTAATTAGTATCACTGGGTGATGAGTGTAAAAATTGGGGCTTAAACAGGGTAGCCAAGATTATATAACTTGAGGCCCTCTGGCACCTTTAACCCCTTTCCCCACTTGGTGACTTAATGACCATTTTTTCCAAGTAAATATGATAGAATCACCCAAGAACGCATGCCTCTAAGATTTAGTGAGTCAATTTCTCCTGGGTAGTAAGGTTAAGCCAAAGGAAAAAAAAAGCTCTAACTATGGAATTTCAGATATCACCAAACTAGAGAAAGCACTGGAGATGCTCTCCCAAAAAGTAGGGTTAATGGTTTTTCTCAGGCAGTCATGAAAGATTGAGCATGCTCAAGCCCAAGAATGAGCCTTGACTCACTAGGGATGCAGGATGGTGCCCGCCCACTCCACTTCCCAGTCCTCAGACATGTCCTCCTGCTGCTGCCCAGGCGGCGGTAGAAGGGTGAGATGCACTCATACTGGAGCTGGGTATGCAGATGTTGGTATCCCATGGGCAGATCTCCAAAGGGAAGGGCTGGCTTCTTGGTAGGGGCACTCTGCAGTTTCTGCTTGCTGAAGGCCGCTGAGTATAGCTGGTGTAATGGTGTCTCCCTGGGTCAGGAAACATGGGCCCAGAGAAAGAGCAGGGTGAGAGAAAGTCACTGTGGCCTCTTTAGCATTCATGCCATGTCCCATGTAGATATTTGTTTACAGAAACAGAAAAAATCTCTGTCTCTGTCTCTCTCTATCTCTCTCTCTGTCTGTCTGCCTTTTGAGGCAGGGTCTCCCTCTGTCCCTCACTCCAGGATGGAGTGTAGTGATGCGATCTTGGCTCACTGCAACCTCCACCTCCTGGGTTCAAGCAATTCTTGTGCCTCAGCCTCCTGAATAGCTGGGATTACAGACATGCAACACCACGCCCAGCTAATTTTTGTATTTGTAGTAGAGATGGGTTTTCATCATGTTGTCCAGGCAGATCTTGAACTCCTGGGCTCAAGCAATCCACTCACCTTGGCCTCCCAAAGTGCTGGGATTACAGGTGTGAGCTACGCCACCCAGCCAAAAATGGCTATCTCATTCTGTGTCTCTCTGTTTCTCTCTTTCTGTCTCTCTGTTTCTCTCTCTCTCTCTGTCACACACACACACACACACACACACACACACACACTTTGCCTCTCCCACTGAGCAAATTCTCTTGTATACTTCAATCTTCATTTTATGTCTCCATGTCTATTACTGGCATGATTCCAACTGCTTAAGATTTTAACCAAAGACAATAATACCTGGCATAATAGCTGCTATCCAAAGGTACATTATACATGCACACACAAAGAAATTAATTGCAACATTAAACAAAAAAGGGAGTTAAATTGAATGAGAGAAATGTAGACATTTTTTTCCTCCAAACATTATCATAATGGGGCAATATTAGGAATTGACTCAAACTAAACTGTGTTGATACAGTAGCTTGATTTAGCAATTAGCAGGTGTAATTAGTACACCTCAGAGAATAGAACTTTCTCTCAGGGCGCATTGATCGGGAGAAATATGAAGCATTGCATATAAATGGGAAAAGGGGATATTAAATGAGCCCTGAAGTTGGAGCCCTCAGAGACCACTCAGGGATTCTTGGGGAAGATGTGCACACACTCTGCAGTTTGTGTTCATTTTATGTTGGCACCTAATGACTGTCACCTGAAAAGTTGAAAGTCCTTTAGGAATCTATGTTTTCATCCCTGTTTAATGAATGGACAAAGGAAGTGCAGAGAGGCAAGTGGAAGTACGCAGAGGCACGCAGTAAAGAAACTTGGTACCCAAGGCAGTGCTTACCAGTCACAATTTCCACCCTGGTGTCCCCCCAATACCAATATATCATCACAAGAAATCTATTTCATATACAGTGCTTGGCTCAGAGCAAATATTCCAATCCTCTTGGTTTCATTCAACAAATCTTTAGCTCATGTTTATAATGAGGTCTGTAGCTCAGGGAGCTCCTGAACTTGCAAACAAACTCCTCCCTTGGCTATGGAAGGTCTACACTGTCGTTGGGGGCTTCTGGATGAGGAGGTGGCTGCTGGAGATAGGGATACCCTCCACTTCAGCTGCCTGTCTTCCCAACAGATACTTAAAACCAAGTTTCAGCCTTGCTTTTTCATTTACTTGAGAAACCCGGCACTTTGCCACCTAACCTCCCATTAATATTGCTTTAAAAATAGGAAGCCCAGTAGTCTTTCTGAATAGTGCAGGGGCCCGTCTACAGCATGTGTCTTTGGGAAGAACAGGTTGATCCCACTTAGTGGAGAGTCCAGCCCAGGGAAATCACACAGATCAGGAAAGAGGGCAGAATTTGAATTTCACTGCCACCGTTTCCAAGGAAATGCCTTGCCCCTGAAAGGAAAAAGACAAAAATGGAAGGAGACAGCCTGAGGAGGGGTGAAAGACTGATGGATATTCTGACTTATGAATATTCCAGGGAACTTAGCTGTAGTCAATTTCAGTCACCGGAATTCACTGTTACTATTTCTAACAATAGGTGAGAAATCACTGTCCGATGAATTATGCGTGCAAGGTACTTTGCTACAGCCTTTACATAAGACTCAAAGTATAGTGCATACGGGAGCAGACCAGGAAGCCAGATACTGAATTTACATCCTGGCTTTGCCACTCTAGCAATGTGATGTTGGACAAGTTACTTAACTTCTCTGAGCTTCAGTTTACCCCTCTGTAATATAAATGGTAATAAAATCTGTAATAAAATGGTGATAACAAAAATACCTACCTCAGAGGTTATAGTGAGGATTAAATGAACTAATGCATGAAAATACTCAGAAGAGCAACCGACACAGAGCAAACATGCAATAAATGTTAGCTATTAGGGTTGCATATAATCCTTGAAACAATCCCCAGAGACAGATTGCTATGATTATAACTACTTTTCAAAAGAAAAAACTAAGGCTCAGCAGGTTTAGGAACTTGCCCAAGAATACCCAGCACTAAAGACAGAGGCAGACTCAGGTCTTGAACCTTTGTTTGTCAATCCAATTCATTCATTCGATAAATACTTACTGAGTGCCTACTATGTGGCAGGTACTGTTTTAGGTACTAGAACTTTCAGCATGAACAAAACAGATAATGTTCCTGCACGTGTAACTTTCACATTTTGGGGAGGGTGAGGTTGACAGAAATTGAACAAATAAACCCTTAAAAATATGTAAGACAACAGGTGGAGAGAGATGCTAAGATAAAAACAGAAACAGACTACAGGCTAGAGAATTCTGGGTAAAGGGGTCCACTAGACAGTCAGGGTGAAGATAGGATTGCTATCTTTAAAAGGATATTTAGGGAAGATCTCTCTCTGTTAGGCAAAAACTGAGCAGAGAACTGAAGGAAGTGAGGCAATAAGCCTGAGATCTTGTGGAAGCAGGCTCCAGACAGAAGGAGCCACAGTGTAGTTTCCAAAGCAGAACTGTGCTTGGAGTGATAGAGGAAAATCAAGGAGGCCCGTGTAGCTGAGTGGAGAGAGTGAGGAAGAGAATGTAGAAGAAATGAGTAGAAAGGGGCTACTCCCTCCCCACCAGGTGGACCCCACCTTTGTCTTCCCAGGAGGAAGGTTGAGCATACCAGAGGGGCTCACATCCTTCTGCATGGCTGGTCATTTGTCTCTAGTTCTTGGGCTCCCCCAGCCTGCCTCATCTCACTGGTTACCTCCAAGCATATCTTCCTAAATTATAGCTGACTGTGTTTAACAGAAATGTCATCTTCCTAGAAGCTACCATAACAAGTACATAGTAATTTCAGGAAGACTCAAGGATTCAAGTCCATTTTCTCAAAGATCATCTGAAAGTCTTGCTTTCCACCGGTCATCTACTTTCCCACGATCCAGTGAAATTTGTACATCTTCCAACAGTTGCTACCTCTTGGCTAAAGGCAGCTGGCTAATAAGCCTCCATCTAACAAGCCCTATTATTTCATGACCAGTTAGCACTAAATGTCCCTAAGAAACCTCAAACTGACTATCTTTGGCCAAACACAAGTGGGGAAGGGGAATGGAAGGGGAAATACTCATTAGCCTTCAGGGCAGAGTGCAGGTGTTTTGACCTCACCTTGACTGAACCTGCATCGGAAGAACTCTCCTTCTCACCAGGTCTGAAATCTTTGGTTCTCGGCAGGCTAGAAATAAAAAAGACAATGCTGCATGATCCTTTTCCATATTCACTGTTCATATCATTCAGTTCAGATTCATACCTGACCCCCACTTCTGGACACCAGGTGCCCATTCCCCAGGCTCTCAGAGGCAAGACATGTCAGCCAAGCTTGAACATCTCACTTTACAAAAGAGCTTGGTGCATTTCATCTTGATTGACAGCACCCTCTGAAGAATCCAAGAAGAGCAGATGCCTCTGAAAGGCTGCCCCACCTGAGTGATTTGGGACAATGGCATCATAGATTAGGATCATCTGTTCATGTGAATGTAATTAGCAAACTTGATCAAAATGGAATAAAAGTCAAAGTGAAGGTTCTAAAACATAGCCCACATGGGGAATTAGAAGGTTCTCTTTTGACACCAGACAGCAGTGTCAACCATAGATAAGTCTTGGAAAACTGATTCCTCCATGTTCTTTCTCTGCTGTTAAGGCCCCTAACAATCACTTGAGGGCAATTCAAAGCCCAGTTTAATTTTGTTGAAGTCTCTCTTTCTTCAAGAATGAAAAGGAATCCTTCCCATCTCACTTTCCCAATCAGGCAGCCAACATTCATCTAATTAGCAACTTAGAGAACTTTGGTTGTATTAATTTGTAAGAGAAGACTGGACAAAAATCTCCAAGGACATATGTGACACCGTTCCCATACTTAATGAAATAAAAATCAGAATTTGTGCTGGTGGGGATGAAGGTCGCTTCTGGCTAAAGTCTAAAGTGATTTATTCCTTTCACAAACCATTCCCTTTCATTCCTTTTCCCATGATTCAGGTTGTTGACAAACACCCAGAAGGCAAAGTGGAGGATTAAGACAATTATCCGGATAATCTAGGACAAGGACATGTTTTCTTCCCAGTAAACAGCCAGATCATTGTGGCCTGCCCCCAAATAGAGAGGATGTTAACCTGAAGCAACTAGTGAATCAATTCAGTGAGAAACTATGCATCCCCACTGCCAATGGGGAAGGTTCAAACTTCTCTATACAATATTCCACTTTTCTGTCCAACCTACATATTTAAGTTTACCCCTTGATTCCCAGATTGCCTCACTTTGAGTTTACCATGATGACTTCACTTCTGCCTACACCTCTTTTCTTTTCTGCTGTCTTCCATTTGGAATACCATCCCGACTCCTCTTCACATCTACAAATCCTCTCCAGCTTTCCAGACTGGCTCCAGTCCTACTGGATTCATGCAATTGTCCCTATTTCAGGAATGCTGATCTCTCCTTTTGCTGAACTTACACCACTCATCTCTTCCTATAACTATCCCTTGAATGTACAAGGGTTTACTCTCTGTCTTTGTTTTTAAACATCTTAACATCTTCAATCCTCCCCCTCCATAGGCTGGCAGGGATGATGTGTCTATTTTGTTCTTTTATTTCTCACATCAACTTAATATTGCATAGAAAGTAGATAAGTGGAGCTATGTACATGCTTATACATTGCCTCAATTCTATACTTGGATTTGCATATATTAAACTCAGCCCTGTCATCTTTCCTAAACTGCTCTGATAACTACATTCCTCTTCTTGATCACCTCAAGGTGTTGTGATTAGGGAAAGCAGGTCCTCTTGAGGTCAAAAAAAAAAAGAAGCAAATATTTTTAGGATGGTTTCCAACCTCAGAGATATATGGTTTCAGAAAGGACTTAAAAGAGAAAGGCATTTTTCCAGGGGCTTAAAAACATGCAAAGGAGCTACCAAAAAGTCTAGCAACTTCATCAATGTCCGTAGACTTCAGAAACAATTGTAAGTTACCTTTTATGCAGATGGGCTGTTTCCCTGACCACTCTCCATTCTGCTGGCAAGTTCTTTTCTCATTGCCACTAAGAACATAGGAGTTGTTACAAAAGAAAGACACCACGGTGCCAATTTTAGCATGGCGTCCGTTGATAAGCCCAGGGCCCCCTGTTATTTTCTGGTACCCATTGACTGGGCCCCCAGGGTCTGAGCAGTTTCTTTCTTCAAGGACTAAAAGAAAGTAAAAGAAAAGGAGAATTGTTAAAAGTCTGAGTTATTCCATTTTAGAATAGAATCTTTCATGTTTCATTGAACTAAAAATACAATGATATAGGATCTGGTGCTCAAAAGAATTACTAAAATAAATCTCATAATAGAAAATTCATGTACTAGACATGTATTTCCCCTGTTTTCATAATTTATTCTTAAATTGAAAAATCTCATTCTATATATAAATAAATTTGATGCCAAATCTGGCTCTTATATCATCTTGTCCATTTCTTTCTCAAACTGTTGGAACTAGGCAGCCCTGAGTAAAATAAATATCTCACCTAAATTTTATTATCGGTATACAAGGATTATTGTTTTTCAGTGTTGTTGTATTATCTCCTTCATTCTTTAAAGCTTGGGCAATTAAAAACTATTCCATTTCCTATTTGTATTGTACCCAGAAAGTAGAGCTGCTTAGAAATAAGAGTACATACATAAAGTGAATTTAGATTTTATATTTAATCTCTAGGAAAATAAGTGTATTGAAAGTTATAGTTAAAAATACTACAGAACAATATAATTGTAGAGATACAATAAATTTCCCTTGATCTCCAAATATAACTTTCCATCTAAGTATTTGATATTCATTACAGAGGTATTTCTATTCTTTGAGTCCTGTTGAATGGCTATTAAAGTAGAAATGGCATCAGCAGCTATTCTGAGCACTAAACAGGATTTTTAGATATATTCTGGAAATATTCTATCAGATAGGTAACATATTTCTCTCAAATAGATTATGACACTACTGAATATGACTTGCCTAAGGAAGCCGAGCTCCCATAGAATTCAAACTTCTACTACTTGATTTGGGTACCAATCACTCTATCAACCTATCAGCCTCCCTACTTTCTTTTTTCTTTTTTTTTCTTTTTCTTTTTTTATTTATTTATTTATTTTGAGACATGGTCTCACTCCGTCACCCAGGCTGGAGTACAGTGGCGCAATCTTGGCTCACTGCAAACTCCATCCCCTGGGCTCAAGTGATCCTCCCACCTTAGGCTACTGAGTAGCTGGGACCACAGGCACACACCAGCTAATTTTTGTATTTTTAGTAGAGATGGGGTTTCACCATGTTGCCCAGGTTGGTCTTGAACTCCTAAGCTCAAGCTGTCCTCCCACCTTGGCCTCCCAAAGTGCTGGAATCACAGGTGTAAGCCACCATAACTGACCTTAGTTTCTTTTTTTTAATATAAATAATTTCAACTTTTATTTTAGATTCAGGGTGTACATGTGCAGAATTATTACCTGAGTATATTGCATTATGCTGAGCTTTGGGGTACAATTGATCCTGTCACACAGGCATTGATTATAATATCCAGTAGTTCTCAACCCTTGCCACCTTTTCTGTCTCCTCTTCTAGTAGACTCCCTGGTTTCCTTAAAATCATTTATTCTAAGACACAGACAGGCTCATCCCTATAAAACAGTCTCTGTGCAATGCAACTGTGCTTTTTTTTTTTCCTTCCTTCTTTTTATTTTTATTTTATTAAGCTCCGGATACAGGTGCAGGATGTTCAGGTTTCTTACATAGGTAAACGTGTGCCATGGTGGTTTGCTGCACCTGTCAATCCATCACCTAGGTATTAAGCCCCACATGCATTAGCTGTTTATCCTGATGCTCTCCCTCCCCTCACAACCCCCTGATAGGCCCCAGTGTGTGTTATTCCCCTCCCTGTGTCCATGTGTTCTCATCATTCAGCTCCCACTTATGAGTGAGAACATCCAGTGTTTCGTTTTCTGTTCCTGCATTAATCTGCTGAGGATAATGGCTTCTAGCTTCATCCATGTCCCTGCAATGGATATGATTTTGTTCCTTTTTATGGCTGCATAGTATTCCATGGTGTATCATGTACCACATTTTCTTTATCCAGTCTATCATTGATGGTCATTTGGGTTAATTCCATGTCTTTGCTATTGTGACCAGTGATGCAATGAACATACATGTGCATGTATCTTTATAATAGATTTATATTCCTTTGGGTATATACCCAGTAATGGGATTGCTGGGTCAAATGGTATTTCTGGTGCTAGATCTTTGAGGAATCACCAAATTAGTTCAATCACCTTGAAATAATTTACATTCCACCAGCAGTGTAAAAGTGTTCCTATTTCTCCACAGCCTTGGCAGCATCTGTTGTTTCTTGACTTTTAAATACTCGCCATTGCGACTGGCATGAGATAGTATCTCGTTGTGGTTATTTACATTTCTCTAATGATCAGTGATGTTGAGCTTTTTTCAAATGTTTGTTGGCTGCATAAATGTCTTTAAAATTCATAAGGAAGCAAAAAGACCCCATATAGCCAAGACAATCCTAAGCAAAAAGAACAAAGCTGGAGGCATCATGCTAACTGACTTCAAATTATACTATGAGGTTATAGTAACCAAAACAGCATGGTACTGGTACAAAACCAGTACCTTTGAGAAGTGTCTGTTCATGTCCTTGGCCCCCTTTTTAATGGGATTTTTTTTTCTTGTAAAGTTGTTTAATTTCCTTGTAGACTCTGGATATTAGACCTTTGTCAGTTGGATAGGTTCCAAAACTTTTCTCCCATTCTGTAGGTTGTATGTTCACTCTGATGATAGTTTATTTTGCTGTGCAGAAGCTCTGTAGTTTAATTAGATCCAGTTCGTCAATTTTTGTTTTTGTTTCAATTGCTTTTGACGTTTTTGTCATGAAATCTTTGCCTGTGCCTATGTTGTATGGTATTGCCTAGATTTTCTTCTAGGCTTTTTATAGTTTTGGATTTTACATTTCAATCATTTTTCCATCTTGAGTTAATTTTTGTATAAAGTGTAAGGAATGGGTCCAGGTTCAATTTTCTGCATATGCCTAGCCAGTTCTCCCAGTACCATGTATTAAACAGGGTATCCTTTCCTCATTGCTTGTTTTTGTCAGGTTTGTCGAAGATCAGATGGTTGTAGATGTGTGGTCTTATTTCTGAGGTCTCTGTTCTGTTCCATTGGTCTATGTGTCTGTTTTTATACCAGTACCATGCTGTTTTGGTTACTGTAGCCTTGTATAGTTTGAAGTTGGTTAGTGTGATGCCTTCAGCTTCATTCTTTTTGCTTAGGATTGTCTTGACTATATGGGCTGTTTTGTGTTTCCTTGTGAATTTTAAAATAGTTTTTTCTAATTCTGTGAAGAATGTCAATGCTAGTTTGATGGGAATATCATTGAATCTATAAATTACTTTGGGCAGTATGGCCATTTTCACAATATTGATTTTTCCTATCCATGAGCGTGGAATGTTTTTCCATTTGTTTGTGTCCTCTCTGATTTCCTTGAGCAGTGGTTTGTAGTTCTCCTTGAAGAGATCTTTCACTTCCCTTGTTAGCTGTATTCCTAGGCATTTTATTCTCTTTGTGGCAATTGTGAATGGGAGTTCATTCATGATTTGACTCTCTGCCTGTCTGTTGTTGATGTATAGGAATGCTTATGATTTTTGTATATTGATTTTGTGTCCTGAGACTTTGCTGAAGTTGCTTATCAGCTTAAGAAGCTTTTGGTCTGAGACGATGGGGTTTTCTAGATATAGGATCATGCCATTCACAAACAAAGAAAATTTGACTTCCTCTCTTCCTGTCTGAATACACTTTATTTCTTTCTCTTGCCTGATTGCCCTGGCCCGAACTTCCAGTACTGTGTTGAATAGGAGTGATGAGAGAGGGCATCCTTTTCTTGTGCCAGTTTTCGATGGGAATGCTTCCAGCTTTTGTCCATTCAGTATGATATTGGCTGTGGGTTTGTCATAAATGGCTTTTATTTTGAGGTATGTTCCTGCTTTACCTAGTTTATTGAGAGTTTTTAACATGAAGGGATGTTGAATTTTATCAAAGGCTTTTCTGTGTCTATTTAATCATGTTTTTTCATCTTTAGTTCTGTTTATGTGATGAATTATGTTTATTGATTTGCAGATGTTGAACCAGCCTTGCATCCTGAGGATAAAGCCAACTTGATCGTGGTGGATAAGCTTTTTGATGTGCTGCTGGATTTGGTTTGCCAGTATTTTATTGAGGGTTTTTGCATTGATGTTTATCAGGGATATTGGCCTGAAGTTTTGTTTTTTTGTTGCATCTCTGACAGGTTTTGTTATCAGGATGATGCTGGCCTCATAAAATAAGTTAGAGAGAAGTCCCTCCTTTTCCATTGTTTTGAATAGTTTCAGAAGAAATGGTACCAGATCCTCTCTGTACTTCTGGTAAAATTCAGCCATAAATCCATCTGGTCCTGGGCTTCTTTTGATTGGTAGGCTATTAATTACTACCTCGATTTCAGAACTAGTTATTGGTCTATTCAGGGATTCAAATTCTTCCTGGTTCAGTCCTGGGAGGGTGTATGTGTCCAGGAATTTATCCATTTATCCTAGATTTTCTAGTTTATTTGCATAGAGGTGTTTATAGCATTCTCTGATAATTGTTTGCATTTTTGGGGTTAGTGGTGATATCCCCTTTATTATTTTATATTGTGTCTATTTGATTCTTTAATTAGTCTCTCTTTTCTTCTTTATTAATCTAGCTAGCTATGTATTTTATTAATTTTTATTCAAAAAACCAGCTCCTGGATTAGTTGATTTTTGGAAAGATTTTTTGTGTCTCTATCTCCTTCAGTTCTGCTGTGATCTTGGTTATTTCTTGTCTTCTGCTAGCTTTGGAGTTTGTTTGTTCTTAGTTCTCTAGTTATTTTAGTTGTGATGCTAGGATATCAATTTGAGATCTGTGTAGATTTTTGATGTGGGCATTTAGTGCTATAAATTTTCCTCATAACATTGCTTTAGCTGCATCCCAGTGATTCCGGTATGTTGTCTGTTTGTTCTCATTGGTTTCAAAGAACTTCTTGATTTCTGCCTTAATTTCATTATTTACCCAGGAGTCGTTCAGGAGCAGGTTGTTCAATTTCCATATAATTGTGTGGTTGAGTGAGTTTCTTAATCTTGCATTCTAATTTAATTGTGCTGTGGTCTGGGAGACAGTTTGTTATTATTTCAGTCCTTTTGCATTTGCTGAGAAGTGTTTTACTTCCAATTATATGATCAATTTCAGAGTAAGTGCTATGTGGCACCAAGAAGAATGTTTATTCTTTTGTTTTTGGGTGGAGAGTTCTGCAGATATCTATCAGGTCCACTTGGTCCAGAGCTGAGTTCAAGTCCTGAATATCTTTGTTAATTTTCTGTCTTGATGATCTAATATTGACAATGGGGTGTTAAAGTCTCCCACTGTTTTTGTATGGGAGTGTAAGTCTCTTTTTAGGTCTCTAAGAACCTGTTTTATGAATCTGAGTGTTCCTGTATTGGGTGCATATATGTTTAGGATAGTAAGCTCTTCTTGCTTAATTGAACCCTTTATGATTATATAATGCCCTTCTTTATCTTTTTTGATATTGTTGGTTTAAAGTCTGTTTTGTCAGAAACTAGCATTGCAGCCCCTGCTTTTTTCTGCTTTCCTATTTGCTTGGTAATTTTTCCTCCATCCCTTTTTTTTTTTTTTTTTTGAGATGGAGTCTCGCTCTGTTACCCAGGCTGCAGTGCAGTGGTGCGATCTCGGCTCACTGCAAGCTCTGCCTCCCAGGTTCATGCCATTCTCCTGTCTCAGCCTCCCGAGTAGCTGGGACTACAGCCACCTGCTACCACGCCCGGCTAATTTTTTTCTATTTTTTAGTGGAGACAGGGTTTCGCCATGTTAGCCAGGATGGCTCGATCTCCTGACCTCATGATCTGTCCGCCTCGGCCTCCCAAAGTCCTGGGGTTACAGGCGTGAGCCATTGCGCCTGGCCTTCCTCCATCCTTTTATTTTGAGCCTTTCTGGGTCTTTGCATGTGAGATGGGTCTCTTGAACACAGCACACCAATGGGTCTTCACTCTTTATCCAGCTTGCCATTCTGTGTATTTTAATTGGGGCATTTAGCCTATTTACATTTAAGGTTAATATCGTTATGTGTAAATTTGATCCTGTCATCGTGATGCTCGCTGGTTATTTTGCAGACTTGTTAATGTAGTTGTTTCATAGTGCCTTGGTCTGTCTACTTCAGTGTGTTTTTGTAGTGGCTGGTGACAGTTTTTCCTTTCACTATTCAGTGCTTCCTTCAGGAGCTCTTGCAAGGCAGGCCTTGTGGTGACAAATTCCCTCAGCATTTGCTTGTCTGAAAGGGATTTTATTTCTCCTTCACTTATGAAGCTTAGTTTGCCTGGATATGAAATTCTGGGTTGGAAATTCTTTTCTTTAAGAATGTTGAATATTGGCCCCTAATCTCTTCTGGCTTGTAGGTTTCTCCTGAGATATCGACTGTTAGTTTGATGGCATTCCCTTTGTAGGTGACCTTGCCTTTCTCTCTGGCTGCCCTTAACATTTTTTCCTTCATTTCAACCTTGGAAAATCTGAGGATTATGTGTCTTGGAGTTGACATTCTTATGGAATATCTTGCTGGGGTTCTCTGGATTTCCTGAATTTGAATGTTAGCTTGTCTTTCTAGGTTGGGGAAGTTCTCCTAGATGACATCCTGAAGTATGTTTTCTAGCATGGCTCCATTCTCCCTGTCTCTTTCAGGTACCCCAATCAGGTTTGGTCTTTTTACATAATCCCATAGTTCTCAGAGGTTTGGTTCATTCCTTTTCATTTTTTTTTTCTCTAATCTTGTCTGCCTGTCTTATTTCAGCAGGATAGTTTTAATGTTCTGAGATTCTCTCCTCCATTTTGTCTATTCAGCTATTGATACTTGTGGTTGCATTGTGAAGTTCTTATGCTGTGTTTTTCAGCTCCATCAGGTCATTTATGTTCCTCTCTAGACTGATTATTCTGGTTAACAGCTCCTGTAGTGTTTTATCATGATTCTTAGCTTCTTTGCATTGGGTTAGAACTTACTCCTTTAGCTCATCAAAGTTCATTATTACTTACCTTTTGAAGCCTACTTCTGTCAATTAATCCATCTCAGCCTCAGCCCAGTTCTGTGCCATTGCTGGAGAGGTGTTGCAATCATTTGGAAGAGAAGAGACGCTCTGGCTTTTTAAATTTTCAGCACTTTTATGTTGATTTTTTCTCATCTTCATGGGTTTATCTACCTTCAATCTTTGAGGCTGCTGACCTTTGGATGAGATTTTTGTGGGGTCTTTTTTGTTGATGTTGTTGTTGCTTTCTGTTTTTCTTTTAACAGCCAGGCCCCTCTTCTGCAGGGCTGCTGCCGTTTGCTGGAGGTCCACTCCAGACTCTATTCACCTGGGTCCCTCCCACACCTGGAGATATCACCAGTGGAGGCTGCAGCAAAGCAAAGATGGCTGCCTGCTCCTTCCTCCAGGAGCTCCATCCCACAGGGGCACCAAACTGATGCCAGCTGGAACTCTCCTGTATGAGGTGTCTGGCCACCCTTGTTGGGAGGTTCCACCCAGTCAGGAGGCACGATCAGGGACCTGCTTAATGAAGCAATCTGGCTGCCCCTTGGCAGAGCAGGTGCACTGCACTGGGGGAAATCCCACTCGTCTGGACTACCAGCCACCTCAGAGCCAGCAAGCAGGAAAGACTAAGTGTGTTGAACAGGAGATCATGACTGCCTCCCCACAGAGGATCTGTCCCACTGGCCACCTCAGAGCCAGCAAGCAGGAAAAACTAAGTGTGTTGAACAGGAGATCATGACCGCCTCCCCACAGAGGCTCTGTCCCAGGAAGACTGGGGTTCTGTCCGTAAACCCCTGGCTGGAGTTGCCGGAATTCCTGAAGGGAGGTGCCACCCAGTGAGGAGGGATGGATCCAGGTCCCACCTAAAGAAGCAGTCTGGCCACAATCTGCCACAGCTACTGTGCTGCACTGTGAGGAATTCTTCTCTGTCCAAACCGTCCGATCTTTCTGGACCAGCAGGGGAAAATGGCCAACTGAAACCGCAGTGATGGCTGCCTCCCCTCCCCCTGGGAACTTGGTCATCTTAGGCAGTCTCCAGCCTGCTGCCACTGGCCACAACCCAAGCAGCCTCCGAGAGACTGCACAGCTCTGTGCTTGAGACCAAAGGCCCTGGTGGCATGGGCTCACAAGGGGATCTCCTCATCTGTGGGTTGCACAGATCCATGGCAAAATTGTGGTTTCCCTGGCAGGGTAGCACATCACTAACTGCCTCCTTTGGCTGGGGTGGGAGTTTGCCTTACTCCATGCAGCTCCCGGCTGGGCCATCACTCCACTCTGCTTTTCCTTGCTTTCCATGGGTCATGACAACCACCTAGTCAGTCTCAATGAGAGAACCTAGATACCTCAGCTGAAAGTGCAGGATTCACTTGCCATTTTCATTTTTCTCAGTGGGAGCCACAGGCTAGAGCTGCTTCTAATCAGCCATCTTGGCCCCCACAATTATGCATTTGATAAGCTTTCTTTCCTGTAACTGTCCCAATTGCCTTCCAAGAAACTTACTTGGCTGCCTCCAGGCAAAAAAAAAAAAAAAAAAAAAAAAAAAAAATCTCTATTCAGATAACACCTCTAAAATATTTGAGAATTAAAAATAAATAACTTTCCTATGTGCAACTTGGCAAGGCTGCAACAATTAGCCAAATCACCGGTTTGTCCACTCTAAGACCGTCCATAGACTATGCGTAAGTTAATCTCAATGACACTCTGTATGCCTTTGGACTATGTAATATCAGCATTTTTTTCTGGCAAATGAATCCAAAGCCCCCATTTTATTAATAAGTATAAAAAAGGGACCCCACTGAGTAAGCTGTTTAAAAATACTGTGATGGTATAAAAAGGGTAATGGGTTTCTTAATGCTTCAAGTGGACTCACAAAACTCCAGTGCTTACATTTTCAGAAATGCCTCCATGATGTGGGAGGAAAAGGCAGATAAAGCAGTCCATGTTGCTTCACTGATGGTGGTAGCTTCTAATAGCACAGATTCATTCATTCTGAAAATTGAGCTTAGTAAGCACCCACTGGGGCCCACAGACTGAAATTGTCTCAAAAACATAATATGTTATGCTTGAAAGTTTTATAAAATGGAATTCGTTGCAGACATAAAAATTGGGAGATTTCATTTAAAAATCTATATTATTCGTTTCTAACATAATTCAGATCTGAAATCCTGGGCCTGTATTCCCATATAGCAATAATCAACTGGAGTTGAAAAGTGTCTTTGCTTAGAAGAGAGCCCTATTCTTCACAGCCCCCAAGGGCTGCCTACTTCTAGCAGGCATGTGAATCTGCAGCCAATTAGCCTATTAAAGGGCTACAATTTGTGTAAATTAAGTGGAGCTCCCCATCGATTTTGACCATTGCTAGCTAGAGCTCATGGCCAAGAAAGATTGAGTGATATTTAAGACCAGTCTTGGAATACTGAGAGAAAATGAACTGTACTCTAGCCACATCTGCCTCAGCAGAGGATAAGAAATCCTTTCTATTGTTGGCTTTGACAGGTAAGCCTGACAGTTGGGTTTTTCTGCCCTTGGAAGGAAGTGCTTTCATGGTCCACTAGGCTCCCACTCTGTTACTTTCCAAATGCAGGGTTCTAATGGCTTGTAGCTCTACTATATTTAATGTGGATTTAACTAGCAGAAACTTTAGAGAGTTTTTGAGCCCTTGAAAGTAACAGAGATTGAGAACAATTTAGATCCTTTGTTTCTTTCACTAAACAGACTTTAAAAGAAGACTTCAAGAGAAACTGAATCAGGACATACAAACACCTCTGCCCAAGGAATATAGCTATATTTCCATAATGCTTAGATGTGTATTCTTTTATAATCTGGCATTTCTGAAATCAAATCACATGTGATGTGTACTTTTCATGTAGTATTTCCTTCCTCACAAACCCAGAAAAGCTATAATTAAATCAATGGTACAACTTTAACTTGATGAGATCTTAGAATGGAGAACTATGAGAACCATTATTTGGTTTTAAGTTATTGCTTACGGAATGTCATCAGGATAGAGCCAAGTGATGCTTCTGAGTTAGGATCCAATAGAAGGTACAATGTACTGAATGTGTGTGTCCCTCCAATATTCATATATTGAAATCCAAATCCCCAATATCATGGTATTAGGATGTGGGGCATTTGGGAGTAGATTAGTTCATGAGGGTGGAGCCCTCATGAACGAGATTAGTGACTTTGTAAAAAAGAACCCAGAGAGCTCTCCCACCCTCCTTCTGCCACATGAGGATACAGCAAGAAGTCAGCATCTGAAGCAAGCCCTCACCAGACAATGAATCTTCTGACGCCTTGATCTTGGACTTCCCAGCCTCCAGAACTGTGAGAAATAAATGTTTGTTGTTTAAGTCACCCAGTCTATGGTATTCTCTTGTAGCAGCCCAAACTGACTAAGACAGAAGGCAAGACTGAAAATCAAGAGAAATACAGACAATAGAAACACATTTATAAAGAATACAGATAATGTTGTTATCTAACACTACTCAAAAATAACTATGCTGAATATGTTCGAGGAAATAAAACAAGATTGAGCAGAAGACTGGAAACCTTAAAAAAATAAACAAAGGAAACACATGGAACTGAAAAGTATAATGGCAGGAATTTAAAGCTCAGTAGATAAGTTTAATAGCAAATCAGATACCACTGAAGAGTATTAGTAAACTAAAAGATGGCTTAAAAAAACTCAGAATGAAGCAAAAAGAGACAAAAAGATTTAAAATACATGGGAAAAAATAAGGGACATAGGGGATAGAGTGAGAAGGCTAAAAAATAAATGTAATTGGCATCCAAGAAAGAGAAGGGACAGAAAATGGAGTACAAATAATATGCAAAGAAATAATAGCTAAAATTTTTCCCATACTGGTGAAAGACATCAACCTACAGATTCACAAAGTTCAAAGCCAGCTAAATATGAAGCAGCCAAGGGTTGGGGGAGAAACTAGAACATACTTTAAAATAATTACAGTTATTATCTCTGGCTTATAACATTAAAAATAAATTTTGCTTCTTTATAATTTTTTCCAAAGTTCTATAATCAGAAAATGTGACTGTAAAATTTTGTTATTATTTTTGTTGTTTCTGGGGTTAAGTACCTATCAAGCAAAATGGCTTGGGTCTTCCCTGCCAAGTGTCTAAATCTAGCATTATTCAGTCTTTCATGCCTATTTTTATGTGTTCCCATAGTCTCACCACCCCATAAAAATCTCTTTAATATCTTGTCTAATCATAGAGTAATATAATTTTCTATGAAATTATTTAAATGAGTTTATTCACTAGACTCTAATGGAAAAAGAATGGCCTTCAGGATCAGATAGATATGGGTTCAGATAATCATTTGGTTCCCCAGTGTCCAGAGCAAGCGTATAGTAGGTGTTCAATAAATATTTGTTGGTGGGTGGAAGGGATAAAGGGTTAAATATATTCATTCTTCCACTTAATGAACTAGGGTTTGGAAAAATTACATAATGTCCCCAAGCCTTGCTCTTCTCATCTGTAAAGCAGGATAACACTTACCTGGTTGGGCTTGTTCTGAGAAGTAACTGAAATAGCACAGTTTCCTTTTCCCTTACTTGCCTTTGTTCACAAAGCACCCAACTGCCTTTAAATGCCAATTTCCCAAATATATCTTAAAGAAAACCCCACAGGGAAGTACAAAAGCCCATTGTTGGGCCTATTCAAACATAATGCAATATTCCACTCCATTTTCTGGGCTCCTGGTAATGTCTACCCACGACGGCCTTCCATACCTCATTCCAAGGTGTTGATCACACTTCTGGGTGCCAACCACGGTGTCTGTACATTCGTATCTTTTAATCCTGCACAATAAAGCCTTCAATTGCATCCTACATCAAACAACTACTCCCTTACCTCTCATTTATTTTCTGTACTTCCCAAAGCCACACTATCTCCTATGATGCTTTTTATGTGAATTCTAAGACTTGCCCTCCCAGTTTAGACATCTACCTGGTGGGTACATAGGCCATCTGCACCTCATCAGAGCTCCTCCCCAGGGTCAGATTTCAAAACAATCTTTTTTTCCTACTCATTCTCTTTTTAGAAACCTTTGTGTCTCGCCATTGAACTGATTCATGATTCTTTCCTATTTGAGTTTTTAATGAGTGTTTCATTTATCTTCAGTGGGATGGGTTTTTTTTGGTGCAAAGCCAAATGAGAATTTAAAATATTTGCATTTCTGGCCTGAAGGAGCATCAAGGTCCTGCTTCACTAAGTGAAATATTCTGTGATTAATAATAAATAGCACATTGCCATGCTACTTTCAGGACTCATCCTGGAGACAGAAACACACTAGGTTTAGCATGCCCTTACATGCTATTGCATGAACAAAAAATAGGAATCAAAGGTGCATTTCTCTGGGATATTGTTTCAGATAAATATTTAAAGAAAGACCTTTCTTATTTTTGTTTTTTTTCCTCCAGGCAACTGTATGAGGTGGTTCTCATGTAAACTGTCATGTCAGTTTACAGAAGCATATGTGATGGCTTTGGAATGGCTCTACAATGAACACTTAAGTCTCCCAGATTCTTTTGCCAGCTCAAGGCACCCATTCCTCAACTTCTACATGAGTGCTTTGCAGCTGAGAACCGGCACTTACAACCTTCAGAGGACTGCCCTTGGGCATGGCCACCACCCTGTACTTCATATGTGTACCTCATATGAGCTGAAAAATATCTAGGAGATTTTTGTCCCCCTAGGCCCACCCCAGGGTTGCCTGTAGGCAATGACTGATGGATATGGAAGTTTACAAGCCCAAACAGTGTTCCTGGAGGTGTAATTTATACCCCTCAGAGCCCATGAGATCAGGTTGAGTCTGGGAGTTCAGTTGAAAACACTCTTGCTTGATTCCATCCCCATTCTTATCTTGCTTCCCCAGCTCTGTTACTGGTTGATCCTGGGAGTGCTTCCTTTGATAAATCAGTTGGACCCAAGCACGTGACTCAGGGACTGCTTGGGGAAAAAACTAACCTGAGACAACTCTGCTGTTTTCTTAGCCCTAGACATCAAGGTCCCTCATGCCTTCCCTCAGTCTCACTCCTGGAGGGGATGATATCACAAAGAGGTAGCTGTCTTAACCCTGGGTATCAGGGTCTGTGTGCAGCACTCCTAGGCAGTGAAAAGATCTTGGGGAGTATGATTGGCCAAGCAAGTAGAGGCCAGGTCCTCGTGAGAGGACTTCCAACCTCCACAAATATGCTCGCCTTGGGCTCCAGGCCAGCCCCACACCAGCCAAGATGTTTTACCTGAAAGAATTAGGTAGTCTAAGACATTGGGCTTCCCTAACAAAACAGCATGTACCTAAAATCTGCCATGAGATGATTCCCTCTGATGATTTGGTGCTGTCTGTGTAAAGCAAGTAACCTTTTTACAAGTCTGGGGCACAGAGGAGGTCCCAAGAATGACAGCGACTGCCTTTTTCATGAGCCTGAATTACAGGTCTGAGAGATGGATTTTAGTGGATTCAAAGCAAGTAAAGTGACATCCTTTTCTCACCTATGTGACTGTCATACTCGACATAAAAGTAGCTGAGATGACCAGGTCCATAAATTCTATAGGAAGTGGACATGATGATAGTGATATCAGGGAGTAACTATATCAGGAAAATGTGGAGTTATTTTCAGGAAAAGTGGTTCCTCAGTACACACTCATGACACCATTTTCTATGCCCTCCAGTAAAATCAATAATATTAAATGTGTGAAAAGGAAGTCCATACTCTTCATTCCTAACCTGGGAGTGGAGGCCCCCTCCATATCCTCTGATAAACACAAAACTTAGGAGTAGATCCTAGCTGTGATGAGACAACAGACCTCTTCTTTCATTTATTGCTATCCACCAGTGTATGCCTGTCTATAATGAATGAATGAATCTAGAATTTTAATATGATACACCAGCCTTGCATGAATATATGTCTTTTCCTTTTGCTTAAGTCTCCAAGCCATAAGTTCAAAGTTGGAGATGAGAGCTACAAAAAGCCCCTAGAAGCCAAAGAGTTCAAGCACTGCTTTGCCTTTCAGAAGTCCAGCATGTCACACAGAATGATGAAGTGTTATTAACTATTGATTTGATTCATTTTCTTAGATCTTCACACATTTAATGAGTGCCTCCTCTGTGCCCAGCTGAATAAGCCATTAGAAGATGTTTTTCTATATGTTTAATATAGAAATTTTTTATTTAAACCCTGAAATAGAAGAGATGCCAGTTCAAGATATTCTACTAAGGTGCTTTATACTTCTCAAGGCTCTCTCTAGCTTCACTTAAACACTTAACAGAAAAAAAAAAAAAAAGATTTGGGGCTTTCCTTCCACTTACTTATTCCCCAGGTCAGATTTTTACCCAACACAATCTTTTTCAATCAAAAAAGAGAGTTAATAGTTCCAACTAGTACTTGAAGGGATGTCACTGCAGGAAATTCAATTTTACTTCTTTGGGCCAACTCAATTCATTCTGACCAGAAAAGGAGAAAGACAGAGAGAGAGCAAGAGTAGGGAGAATAAATACATATATAATTTTTTTTTCACTTGCACCAATTCTTACTAAGTGGCTAGTACCTTTCTTAACTTTGCTTCTATAATTACATCAGAGGATAAGTTGTGAACCAATGAATACAGTAAAGGTAACCATGGGTCCTTAGATGAATTTGAATGAGGTGCAGGGTCTCAGCAAATACTAGCCAACCCCAGAAGTTGACTGTAGTCGGATTGTAGCAAAGATTTCATCAGGTGCAATTAATTGCAGTGGGTTCATACCACTTAGCCTGCCGTGCTGTCTGAAAAGAAATTTCTTAATCTACAGGTAGAATGCTGAGTTAAACGGAACCAAATTCTAATTTAAATGCTTCTGCTGAGAATAATCATTGGAGATTTGTTGGAATTGGAGCTCCCAGTTTTATCCTATTTGTGTTCTCCCTGTGGTACTAGATAGAACTGTTGATGCAGAGATCACCATTTAACCAGGGCACATTTGTGTAGTTAATGCAGTGTGGACAATTGATCAGGGCACAATTACAAGAGATGAGACAATTAGAAGAGACCCAGAGGCACTTCTTTATGATAGGAGCAGCCATTTTCAAACATGCTGCATAGCATGTTTCAAACCCTTCAGTTTGAACAAACCCTTCAGAAGATACCAAATCCTCTGGGAAGTATTGTTGGCTCTCTCCACAAATAACACTGCAGTCTCCACTCACTCCCATGAACCTACAATGGACTAAACTTGCTCTTACACACAGAGAAGAGCTTGTGCATGTGCACACGTGTGTGTACAGAATATCAATTCTTAGATCTAACTTTTTTTTAAAATCAGCAATACAGATGATTCATATTTTGAGTATCCTTCAGATAATGCAACCCTAAAATATATGTTAGTCAGCATTGATCAAAGGCTTCTCTAATAGTTTAGAGAAACAACTAGATGGTGATCTACCTGACTGTGGTACTTAATTTTATGTGTCAACTAGACTGGATCATGAAATGCCAGATATCTTGTTAAGCATTATATCTGGGCATGTCTGTGAGGGTGTTTCTGGAAGAGATTGGTGTTTGAATTGGTAGAACGAGTAAAAAGGATTGCTCTCCCCCAGTGTGGGCAGGCATCATCCAATCTGTTGAGGGCCAGAATAGAATAAAAAGGTGCAGGAAGGGATAATTTGGGTTATCTCTCTGCCTGAATGCTTGAGGGGGAATCCATCTCTGCCCTCAGCACTCTTGGTTCTTAGGCCTTCAGATGCTTACTGAAGTCTACACTATTGGATCTCCAGCCTTCAAATTACACCACTGGCTTTCCTGGTCTCCAGCTTGTAGACAGCATATCATGGCACTTCTCAGCCTCCATAATTGTGTGAGCCAATACTTTGTGTGTATGTGTGTGTGTATACACATATTTATATAAATTCTATTAGTTCTGTTTCTTTAGAGAACCATGACTAATACAAAGCTGTAGACCTCTATTAAGTTAGCTCCTCAAGGAAACACCTTCATGAGGTGTCTTAGGTTGGGTTCTCCTAGAAGCCGCCTGTTCGACAAGGCTTTGAGTGCAAGTAGTTCATTTAGGTGACAATCTTAGGAAGAACCAACAGTGGAGTGAGGGAAATGAGATGGGGATTATTATAAATGAGAAAGGAGATAAGACTGCATTATCAAGGAGGTTACCACAGGGGATTACTGAGGCTGAATGATGTTCAGAAACTCTGGGAGACAGTGTGGAGCATGTCTCATCATTATCCTACTCACAGAGGAAGGGATATGAGTTATTACCTACCACTTGTCATTAATCATTTGTTGAAGGATGATGAGATGAACATTAACTCTTCATACCTCCCATTTGCCCACCTATAGGAGCCTGTGCACCCTGAGAGCCAAAGAAAGCCTCAGACAGGGTAGAAGGAGCATAAAAGTACAAGACAGCTGGGTTAGCATGCACAGAAATGGTAAACATAATCAAGTCCAGCTACCTTTTTCTTTTCAGGAAAGGGAGAATGATCTACTTTTTAGAAAGATATAATATTTGAAAAATCAACATTTCTATAATTTATAAAACTGAAGTGAACAACATTTTCTCAGCACCCATCCTTAGATAAGGGGAAGAAAGGAGTAGATGTTAGAATAAAATCAGCAATGGTTGCACCCCCAGATGAATGTGTGTTCATTCACTTTCTTTTAATCTCTATCCCATCTAATGCTCTATTTTTTTATTGTTCTTGTTCAGCTTCCAAATTATTTTATTTTACTTTAATTATTTGTACCCTGCTTGCTTTCAGAAAGAGTTTGCAGTGATTTACAAAACTATACATACAAAACATGTATTTCTTTTTTTGCAAATGTTATGTTAATGAAATATTTATGATTGCCAGATACCACCTGAGCTAAAAACCAAGTCAGGCAGGTACTATTCTGTTTCTCTGATATGAGCTGGGTTTTGGAGCTATAAGATTATCTGAGAGTTCCAGCAAAGGAAACAGATCCAGAGTCAGCAAAATTGATGACTGTCATCTAACTGGTAGTAAGGGCCAGGGATGGAGAGATGTTTGTCTCAATTCTTAGCATACTCTTGGCATCCGCCCATTGTCACTTGTCACCAAAATCAAGGAAACAACTTGTGACAGAATTTTGGTTCTGTTTAGAAAAGGCATTAACTTTCTCATCAGGGCATTGTTCATCCTGGAAATCTACTTAACATGAGGCCAGCTCTTACAGACAGCATCACATGGCCTCTCTTCTCTTCCTCATTTTTTCCTGTTCAGCTTATATTTGAGTTTTGTGTCTCTGGACCAAACCAAATATTTTTTACTCCCAGGAAGGTCTTCACCAACCAGGAATAATGACACCAACTGGTGATGTAATCCCCACTGAAAACTCTTTTGATCCCTTTCCAGCCAATGGAATTCTTCCCCCCTGATGTTTTCCAGCCCTCTGGGGGTGTGAATGAGAAATTCTCATTCTCTCTCTATGTGAAATTATGCTTGGATTGCACACACTGTTATTTTTTCATCCGGCAGCAATTTAGAGGCTGAGGCTTACAATTAGCTATTTGATCTTAATCAGTATTGTCCTTGGGCATGGTACACTATGTCTTTCGGATACCACTTTTCCGGTATTTGGATGGCCTATTTATTTAGACAGCTGAAACTGCCTGTGCCTAAGAGACAGGTCAACTTGGAAAATTTTTGAAAAGTCCTAGTCATTGTATTTCTTCTTCAAAATCAACCTGACACATTCCCATTTGACAGTGTAGATGGGTAGCCTATGTATGTGTTAGAAACTTCACCATCCTCTACTGAATCTGCTTGGTAACATTAGTTTTCTTGGGGCTTCCCCAAATCTCAGAAGATTTCTGCTTCAGCTCCTTGGGGGTGGGTGATAACTCTAAACTACTGGGGGAAATGTTCCCCAGTGGTATTCATAGCCAACTTCTCAAACTATAAGAAATGGCCTGAGCTGGGCATTTCTGTTCTGTTTAGCCTTGGGGATGAAGAGAATGAACTTGCAGAAGATTCCTCGGCTGCTAGGCACATTTGAGTCCTAGGAGATCCCACCCAGTTCCTGGCATACTGGAAGCATGTAATAACTTTCATCATCACCATCACTATTACCAAAAGCCTTGCTAGAAGAAGCTGTAGCTGGAAACTGCATGGCATGTAACATTCTTCTAAAGACTAGGAAAGGGCTAAGATTGGAATTGTTCCATAGCTTTGTCAAAAGGAGGGGAAAATATATACTGGATAGCCCTGCCTTATTTCCCCAGTGCCTGGTACCTCATAGACACTCAAAAATGTCTAGCTGGATGAATCTGTAAAGTGCAGGTAATCAAAGTATCTACTACATGGGAACATTGAGACAAATAAATGGGTCACGTCACATAAAGCCCAGAGCCTGGCCTATATTAACGATAGAGAGAATAATGACTATTGCTTTAGTACATGGATACCAACAAGAATACCTTGCATTTTGCAAAGAGGAAGCTTTCATTTTCTGACACAGGAGGAGGGACATGTAGTTAATGCCCTGCAAGGGGAGGGACAAGTGGTAAATGTCCCACAAGGCAGATACCTTTAAGGAAATGTGGGGTTCTATAACCATTGCCAACAGGCTGGTGTCTGTCTTGGGTCCCATAATGTCAGGGATACTTGTTTCCAACAGAAGTTAATTGTGCTATGCTCTCACTGTTTGTATCCTCCTCTTTCTTTTTTTTTTTTTTATATACTTTTTTTCTATACTTTAAGTTCTAGGGTACATGTGCACAACGTGCAGGTTTGTTACATATGTATACATGTGCCATGTTGGTGTGCTGCACCCATTAACTCATCATTTACATTAGGTATATCTCCTAATGCTTTCCCTCCCTACTCCCCCCACCCCACAACAGGCCCTGGTGTGTGATGTTCCCCTTCCTGTGTCCAAGTGTTCTCATTGTTCAATTCCCACCTATGAGTGAGAACATGCATGTTTGGTTTTTCGTCCTTGTGATAGTTTGCTGAGAATGATGGTTTCCAGCTTCATCCATGTCCCTACAAAGGACATGAACTCATCCTTTTTTATGGCTACATAGTATTCCATGGTGCATATGTGCCACATTTTCTTAATCCAGTCTATCATTGTTGGACATTTGGGTTGGTTCCAAGTCTTTGCTATTGTGAATAGTGCTGCAATAAACATACGTGTGTGTGCATCTTTATAGCAGCATGTTTTGGGTATATACCTAGTAATGGGATGGCTGAGTCAAACGGTATTTCTAGTTCTAGATCCCTGAGGAATCGCCACACTCTTCCACAATGGTTGAACTAGTTTACAGTCCCACCAACAGTGTAAAAGTGTTCCTATTTCTCCACATCCTCTCCAGCACCTGTTGTTTCCTGACTTTTTAATGATCGCCATTCTAACTGGTGTGAGATGGTATCTCATTGTGGTTTTGATTTGCATTTCTCTGATGGCCAGTGATGATGAGCACCCTTCTCTTTCAACCCTTAGTAGGTAGACAGTCCATCCCAGTTCTAATGAATTACCTCTTAACCCAGAACCCAAATACAATCTGCCTGCCATGTTAAGTCCTGTCTCAGTGACCTCATCTGCCAAAGCAAAAGCCAAAAGGCCCTTGGCAAGAAGCAGACAGGTGCAAGCAAAGCGTAAGCAAAGCGTTAGCAAAGCAATGGTGGGTCTGGCCCTTTCAACACTGATGGGTGCTCTGTTCCCAGCTCTTGGAGGTAGTCTTGCTGCATTGTTTACATGGCTTCACTTTGGTATTTGGCTCTAGCCTAGGTATTTGGCTAGAATGCTGTCCATGCTGAAATAATTCCTGAGTAGCAAAATACACCCCTTATGTCAGAACCCCTAAGCCTCTTGCCCTGCATGAGACATAGCAATGTTTTGGTCAAGGCCCATGGAGCCCAGGATAGTTCATACTAAGATGTCACTTGGGCTAGGTAGACCCAAGCTCATCTCACAAGGATTGATCTAATTGAAAAGAAAACTTTTCCCCAAAATTAAAAAAAAAAACACACATACACACCCACACACACACACACCTTGGTAACTATAAAAGGGCAGCTTCTACTATGTTCAGTGGCAGCTTTTGTTTTTTGGATCTAAATCCAAATGGGATGGCATCCCTCTGAACACACCAAGGAGGACATTACAGATTCATTTCATATTAGGGAGGGTAAGTAGATGAGAGACCCAGGTAATGTGTAAGAAGACAGTGGCCCACTAGCTAATGGTCTTCCTGGGCTCCTCCAGTCTGCAAAGGCTCTGGGCTATCAAGTACATGCGGGTAATAGCCACGGATTCCTTGGGACTGTTCTCCATGGAATTAGCCCTATGCCCTTCATACCCTCTCAAGACAGATTGAGCCTTTGTTTTTCTCCCTGCCCCTTTAACAAAATACCAAAATGTTACTCTGAAGTCTTGATTGCTCCTTTTTTTTTTTCTTCTCCCTGTCCGTTTAACAAAATACCAAAATGTTACTCTGAAGTCTTGTCTCCAAAATGACCAGCAGGGGACTGACACAGCCCACACTAAATAAGTGACCAATAAAACCCCATGAGAAAAAGGGAGGCTGGCCAGATAACATGATGCTTTGAGCAACCTGCTCTGGAGTGTCCGAATCTAGTTTCTCCCCATCATTACTCTATTTGTCATTTCTAACAGCTCCCTCCCAAGGCTGTCCAGGTTACCAAGCCTCAGCATTCAACATGCCTAATGTGGGTGTCTTTTCCTGGGATTCAGTATTTCTTTACAACAGTGACACTGGCACCACCTACTTGTCCTTTTAAAAACAGATCTTTCTTGCCTGTATGTTGGTGCAGTGGTGGCAATATTTAGTGTTTAGCAATGGCTTGAGGAGGTTTGCAAAGGAAACTCAGAAAGTCTTGGGAGAGTTTTCTGAAATCCTAGGACTTTGAGAAAGTTATGTCATAATTGTCCAGATTGTAGAAACTAGTGTTGTTGCCCTAGTCCCTTATCCAGGGAATCCCTTACTTTCTGCCATACTTTTAAATGGCCGTAATGTGGAATCAGAAACAGTGGGATGGCTCCTATTACTCAACTCAGTGCCTTATGTGGATCATCTCATCCCCTCCCTACAAACACCCTAAGAGGAATTTGGTATTATTTTTCTGGAGGTTATAAATGGGGAAAGTGAGGCTCATAGGAGCTAAATGACTCGCTCAAGACCACCTGACTAGTTAATTGAAGACTCAGTGTCAAACCAAGGTTTTTCTGGCCACAGATTCTAAGGTGATTCTTCACCTTGGGGCGTACCATCTCATGATGGACAAAGATGCACCTGCCTTCTGTGTATTAAGGATAAGAGAGGTCTTAGAACTGTGAAAAAAGGCAGTAAAAATTCCATTTTTAAATGCCTCACCCTCAGAGATCTCAAAATAATTTGCAGTAATTCCACCTAGCCTGCAGTATATGCATCTGTCCGTGATGGGAGAGATGTTAGTTTACCCACTAGGGGTCTCAGTACGTTCTCACTGGTTCGGCTTCATGTTTTCATGAACACCCCAAAGTTCCTAATTGTTTATTCTGATGAGAAGCGCGGGTCTCCCCTTTGAAGCTAAAGCATAAAGTGTGCCTCTCAGCCTGAGCTCTTTTCTTCCCAGGCCTTGGGACAGGCCAGTGGGAACCTTCAGAGACTCCAAAACCCAAATGAATCCAGATTCACCATTTTTCTTTAATTGGTGGAGGTCGATTTGTTTTGCTCCAAGGCGTGTCAGAGCCCGCAGTGTGAGCATTGTGCCCCAAGAGTTAGCCTGTTTCATCGTCCTTCATTAGGATGCAGGGGGAAGTCCCAGCCCCGTCAACTGGGCCGGGGGAACAAAGGCAACATGGAAATTAGAGCAGGACGATGAATCCCTTGCTCTCCACTTTTTCAAAACAAGATTCTGACCATTTACTCGAGGACCCATTTTGTTGTTGTGTTCCATACAAAGAAACAGGAAACTTCAGAGGGAAGAAGGGGCCCCAGTTTCCTACACGGTGGCCCAAGGAGGCTGGAGGTTGCTGACGGTGTTGGCAGGAGGCTAGCTTGGCCTCAAGGCGGAGGAGGGGGCCGTTCCCCTTGTTGTGCTTCCAAGGAGGTCACCCAGGCACCGGGGGAAGTTTTTCCTCCTTCGGAAACAATCTAGGGCAGGTGAGGCCTGGGGTAGCAGCCCTTGAAGACTGTCCCATCGGAGGCTCTCACACCTTCTTGACAGCTGGTACTAGGCCAAATCTAGCTGATTATTTTGCATTCTTTATCTCCTGTCCCATGAAAGTCTGAAGGAGAAATTTCTCCCCAGACCAATGGAATTCCTTTGCAAATAAATTCATTTCCAGCTTGACAAGGATGGATCCTAGTTTCTGAAATGCAGGTCCCAAGTCTTATTTTGAGGACAGGTGTTGATAATGAATGGCTCGTCTTCTAAATTGCCAAAACCTTTTAGTGACCACAGTAGCTCTCAAAATCAAAATACGTGTACCCTTTGAATGAACAGTTCAGCATCTAAGAATTTATCTTACAAAAATATTTCTATGTATGAACAAAGAAATATATGTAAGGATATTCATTGCAGTGCTCTTCATAATAGCAAAATGTTAAAAGCAATATCAAGTCCATCTTAAGGACTTGGATGAATATATAATTATATTAACACATTCAGCCTTTCAATGACTATTCAGCAATCATTTTTTCAAATCAGAATACCAACATGGACTGATCTTGAAAAAATATCCATAACATGGGGACTGAAAATAAATTGAAAAATTGTATGCATACTTAACTCACTTGTGTTTAAAACAAGGTTTTTCAACCTTGGCACTACTGATCTTTGAGCCAGATAACTGTTGTGGGGCCTGTCCTGTGCAGTGTAGGATGTTTAGCAGCATCACTGGCCTCTACCCACTAGATGCCAGCAGCACACCACCTCACTCCTACAATTATCACAGCCAACACTGTTTCCAGACATTGCCAAATGTCCCCTGTGAGTAGAGATGGAGAGCAAAATCACCCCTGGTTGAGAACCACTGATTTAAAATAATGACACATAGACCACTTAGGTTTGCATACCGCAGAAAAAAAGGTCTAGAAGAATATCCTCCAAGTTCTTACAATGCTTCCACTGGGAACCAGGATTGGCCAGGAAAAAACAATGTTCTCTTTTTATTCTATACACCTCTGTACTGTTTGATTTTTTTGACATATATTTCTGCAATTAAGTAGAAAATCTACTTCTATTCCACTCCACTCACAGACATACACGTACATTAGGAAAATAAAGAGAATAGCTTCTATCAAGAGTCTGTACATCGGAATTCTATTTGGAAAAGAGAAACAGATGAGCTTTAACTGGGATGGGAAGTCCTTTAAGAGGACTCGCTAATGGGACATGATGGTAACCAGAGTTCATCAGTGAAGCATCTGGAGTCTCACCAAGACATACAGCAAGTGTCGTGTCTGAGAGATTGTGAACTAAGTGGGAAATGTGAAATTATGGCCTCTGGTTTTGAATTTGATGGGGACCAGTGTCTTGCATTCTCTGCTTCAAATCACTCATTTGCAAAACTGAGCATCTACCTTTCCACAAAGACTTGAAGAGAACATTAAAGCAGCACCTGTGAAATGATTTGCCCTCATCAGATTTGGCACTGCATAAATGAAAGATTTCTCATTAATGTTGATTTTGGTCATTAATATTGATTTTAAAGCCATTAAAAAAAAAGAGCCTAGTCTAATTTGGGCACTTCAGAGTTTGGGGAACCCCAGATGCTTGGGTTTCTTCCTAATTTCAAAAGAATTCCCGCCAGGATGTTTTGAATTTGTTGGTATCCTCATGAGGAAAACAAGAAAATAAATCTTTTTGCTCTTTTTTGCTTTTCTAACTGATAGACTGCTCTGGAAAAATTGCTAAGGTTTACTCAGAAATTATAACATAAACTGCCATAGCCATTTTTTGTGACGTGTCCCCCAGTGAGTTAGTTGATACTCATGCCAAATTTCCTAGAAGGAAAAATGAACCTGGATCTTACAGAAAACAGACAAACAAAAAACATTTAGTTCCCCCATACTGATGCCAGTAAATGACATATCGGATATCCACTGGTAACACCTTCACTTCACTATAACTACATGTTACTAAGGGAATTATGACTTTTGAACAATATTTTGAAAACCAGCAAGGTAGAATTTTCCTGCCCATCTATGCTGATGCTTTAAAGTAATTTGAGACAGTTTGTGAATTAAGTTATGAATCAGTTCATAGTGACATATTTTACATTCTTTTTTCATTATGTTTCTTATTTTCTTAATGGAATAACAATGCTGAGGAATCTGTTTTGACTCACAAGCTACCTGTGAATATTTTAATCATAAGTTTTGGACCAATTTATTTTTCTTTCCTAATTTGACTCAGCTTCCTAAAGACATTTTGGCTTTATCTGGTGATGTTTTACTTCTTTCCAATTCTATTTTTTTTTTTTTATCAAAGTATTGTGTAATTCGTTCATCAAGAAATTAAGCCTTCCCTCTTTTTGTTTCCTCCTCTGAAGCTCAGTATTTGCTATTGTCAAGAATCTAGAATCGCTCTACATACAAATTCTTGAAGCCAAGAGAATGCAACATTTCTCTGGTCTGCCTTGCACACAACATGGCAGGCTCAAATGAGGCAAGAACCACGAAGCAGAACATCATTTTCTATGTCTCTAGCAGTCACACTCAAGTGAGCTGTGCCAAACCAGGGCAAGGATGCTCTTAGTAGAAATCAATGGCACACACAGGGACCCACTATTGAAACCATGGTTTCCATCTGCATTGTTTGCAAGAAAACATTAGTGAAAACTGGGCCAGTGCAGTGGCTCACCCCTGTAATCCCAGCACTTTGGGAGGCCGAGGCGGGTGGATCACGAGGTCAGGAGATCAAGACCATCCTGGCTAACACGGTGCAAACCCGTCTCTGTTAAAAATACAAAAAATTAGCCGGGTGTGGTGGCGGGCGCCTGTAGTCCCAGCTACTTGGGAGGCTGAGGCAGGAGAATGGCGTGAACCCAGGAGGCGGAGCTTGCAGTGAGCCGAGATCGCGCCACTGCACTCTAGCCTGGGCGACAGAGAGAGGCTCTATCTCAAAAAAAAAAAAAAAAAAAAAGGAAAACATTAGTGAAAATTAATTCAAAACATACACAAACTTTAGAGAATACTGCCAGACCAGGCTGTTAGATGACCACAGAGTACCTGTGCACTCTAGTTAGAAGTGACTGTAGTAGATATTGTTGGTGCTCTGCCCTCGGGTCTATTTTCTGTGTTTCTGTGGGCCCTTTTCCCCTCCCCATCCTATGGTATTTTACTTCCAATGGCCTGTACTTGTGATTCTCTTTCAGGGAACTGCTCAGGGGCTACTGGAACCACTTTGCCCACATGCATAGAAAGCCATATGTGCCCACGGTTTATGTCCTCCAGTTCCCCAGGGCAGCCCGCACCCAATGACTGATTGCTGTGGGCATATGAAAGCCCAGATCCCTTGCCTTAAAGCTAGAACATTACTCTAAGGAGTAATGTACATTCCAGATCTCATGACAGGTTAACACTGAGGTTGGTATTTTGCCTGAAATCGCACCCCTACTTGGCCTCCTTCCCTTCCCAGGCCAGCTTCCCACACCCCTATAAGCTTCCCCAGGGAGCCTGTCCTTAACACTTCACTTGTGTACACATTCTCAACTCACGATCTGCTTTGGGAAAACCTACCTAGGAGACTCTCTGTCCTCCTTTGCTCTCCCCCAAATTCTTGTCCTTATGCACATCACATTCCATGCTGATGGCTTCCATCTGTGACACCTGTTTTCGGTCTGGTAACCAAGGCCTTATATAAGACATGTGTTAAAACATGACCATATAGTTTGTCATCCAATTCAAGACACTTTGCTCACGAAAGAGGATGCTATTAATAATTTTGCTCAGCAAAATGTATATCTACCACCCTCATTGCAGGGCTTCAAGTTATGCAATAAGTCACATTGGAGCCTGTGAATGGTGCCAGAGTATAAATCTAAAATACAGATCTTAGAATGGACAGGGATACAGACTGAGCCACAGGAAAGTTTGTTGACCTTTTTCAGTGTTTTTGAGCTCTGAATATTACTAGAGGCCATTGTATCTTTCTAAGAGGTATTTGCAGCAAGTGAGGGTTGGAAATGTCAATAGACAAACCTAGGAAGTTGAAGAGAACCTGACTCAGAAGCAGCTATGCCCCTCTGAGAATCACTCACTGGGAGTATCCACACTGTGCACCATCTTGGACAGAGCATCCTAGACATGAAGAAAGAGTTGGCCCTGCAAGCTCTTAAAATCCTTCCATACCAGCCCCATCTGACACCTTAACTCCCACTTAGGAAGCATACTCACGATTTTCACAGCGCTGCCCAGTATAGCCTGCCAAGCAGGCACACTTGTAAGATCCAGCCTTGTCAAGGACGCACGTGCCGTCATGGAAACAAGGGGATGAGGAGCATGCTGTAAGAGAAAAGGCATCCTTCAGTGCCACTATACATTGAGTCGATGTCTTCAGGCCCAGAGTCTTGACCAAAGTCTTTTAATTCCTTATTAAAGTCTTCTTGCAATGTTTTTTCTTCCCTTTACTGAATTCATGTTATGATTATTTGAAAATGCCTAAAATAGATACTCATTAAATATCAAATGTTGGTGATATTATTTGATGTTTTTGAGGGCCCCAGAAGTATGCTTAACGCTCCTATAGTCTGAAGACCACAAGGCAATGCAAACAAGAACATTAAATTGATGAAAGCAGAGCCATGCTTGTATCTCTCCCATAGGGGTTTCAGCGGACAGAGACATCCTTGGGTAGCTGAAGACCATCTTTTTTCAAATAAAAGCTCACCATCCTGGGTACTGGGGCAATGCAACTGGAAGACAATCATTATGACACTGTTGAAGGTATATTCAATAATTTCCAAACTTACATTCTGTAATCATTAGTCCCTTGAGATGTTGATGTGTTTTACTAAGGGTTCTGAGCTCAAATATGTTAGGGAAATGTTGCTGACATTCAATGCTAATTAACCAGATTTCTTTACTGCAGAACTTCTCAGTTCAATGCCCCAATATACATTGTGAGTTTCCTAATATACATTGTGAATTTCAAGCTTATTTGACCTCAAAGCCTGCATTTTACAAGGCATCCTGGGGACTATTTTTCTACAGAAAAGATTTTGAGAAACATTCATCTGTGTGTTATCCATCAATCCTACATTCATTTATCCCAATGTAGAAGTATATTCCTTGGCTCAGTTCAACAAACCTGTCTTGAGTACTTGCTCAAAACATGACAAGGGAGAAATACAAGGAAGAACAGGATGTCCTATTTACCAGATTAAAACTACTTGAAGAAAAATATAAAACGACTATGACTTGAAGCATAATATAGTTAGTGTATTACGAAGAAAGAAGAGGCAATGCTACAAGACATTCAAAAAAGGGCAAAGCCATAGCTTGTTGGAGCAAGAGAAAAGATTTAGGAGAGGAGGAAGAATGTAGTAGGGGCTATGAAGGATGGATTTTGATGTGCAGGTTGCAGACAGGTGACTTTAGCCAGAGGAAATATCTTGAAGGCAAGTGAACAAACAGGGATGTTTGAAAAATGGGAAGTGGTATTATTTGACGGCATTGATAAAACACAGGCCAGTATTGCCAAAGTTCTCCAGGGGAGGTTGAGGAGGTCATTTCAGAGGAGCAAGACATTCTCCTGACCGTCCCTCAGTCCCAGATTCACAGACTGGCCAGCCACTGCTGCCCCTACCTGGCTTGCTGACTGTCCTAAGCCCCCACAGACACATCTCATGTGGGACGTTGCTCAGCCTATACCTGCAGGGTGTCACCAAGGGAAGAGGATTCAGCCACAGGCTGATCACACCACAGCAGCAAAGCATCAGAACTCCCAGGCCCTGCACAGCTCCACAGGGGGCAGGCACAGAGACTGTAGAGAGCACCTGCTGAGAGTTCCTGTAGGCAGCCTCCTAAAAGAGGGGTAGACCGGGGAGCAGGGTCTCCTGGCCTTGCTGAACAGACAGGACTGAAGAAACACTGATTATTCAGCCACCCACCTTCTTTCCTGAGACTTTCATGTCATACCCTATGAATAAGGAAGTCTTAATGATCAGAATACCATTACGAGTTCTTTTTTAATTCAGTTTTTTTTTTTAAATCAAACTTCAAGCCTGTGTTTATTTTGTAAAACCTGATGCAATCTGATCTCAGAACGATGAGAGTGGGGTGATTGCTTAGGATTAAGCATTTTGTTCAGTTTGGTCAAATCCTACTTCCTAATATGATCACAGCAAGAGTTACAGTCAGGCTTAAAGTTACTCATCAAGTCAATGACATTTACCATTATAGTCTTTTAATACCTATTTTATAGGTGGCAAGTGGAGGGTAAATGTATGCCTAGGGTTGGGCAGCTGTTGAATTCTTACTATGTACCAGACTATGCCAAGCTCTCCATTTGTTCTGTCTCTCAGAGCCTCCTTAATGGAGAAGGATCTACTATTACTCCCTTATCACTCATTAGGAAACAGAGGCCCAGTGGGGTAGAAGAACTTACCCAAGGTCACATAGCTTGATCTGTCAGGGATTTAAAGCCAATGCTCCCAACCATGAGAGGTCACCCTGTGTGAGCTCTAGAGCCGAACAGCTTGGGTACAAATCCCTAGTTCTGCCCCTATATCTGTGTGACCTTGGACAAGTCATTCAGCCTCTCCGTGCTTTAGCCACTGCCATTTGTATAAGGGAGATCATTCCTAGTTCTGGTTCTGAGTGAGTTTTTCTGAAATATACCTTGCTATTTCTTTTTTCTCAGTGTGTAGGCTGTTTCTAAGAACACAGCCTACTAGGTTTTAATAAGGATGAGAGGAAGAAAGGAAGGGACATGGAAAGGAGATATTTATCTGGAGCAAGCCATAAAATGCCACATTTGTCTCCTTGGCCTTTACCTGTGATCTCCTCATAAATGGCATGGAAACCGTCAAAATTCTTGGAGCCATCGGAGTGGAAGAGGACGTGGAGTGAGGATCCTATGCTCTGGATAGGAGCTGGCCGCTCGTTGCCACAGACACGCTTGATGATCTGGCCATCGCGGTTGTCTCCATCACGAACCTCAACATAGTCATACTGGCACATGTAGTCAAACTCCAGGCTCAACATGACAAATCTGTGGGTGGACAGGGTGACGGAGGGAAGCAGATGGGCCCTGGACAGTCCTGAGACCGCTGGGCTCATTCAAGGCCAGATGAGGAACAGGCCTGAGGAACAGATGGTGTCACTGGCCTGATCGGATAGGAAAATGGTCCTCAGAGGTTGGCGAATTTCTCTTAGCAGAGGAGTATGTATTTGTGCACTGTTTGCATGTATGTGCACATGCAAGTGCCTGCCCAGGTGGAGCAAGGTGCCATAATCCATGCAGAGACTCTTTGCATGTGTTGGTCTCTTTTCCAGGGCACTTTTTCCTCCCAGTCTGTGTGGCTGGTTCCTTCCTATCCTCAGGCCTAAGCTTAAATATTCTCTCCTCAAAGAGGCTTCCCTGACCACTCTTTCCAAAGAAGATCCCTTATTTTTCTCATACTGTAGACATAAATTTCAACCTCTTATATTTACCTCCTTGACTTTTTGTGTGTCTATGTGTGGCCTGTCTTCTCCACTGGCCTGCAAGTAACTTGAAGGCAGAGAGGAACACCTGCCTCGTTCCACAGTTTTCACAGTGTCCAGCGCAGTGCCTGGCCTATGGAGATGCTACAGATATTGCCAAATATACGACTGAATGGATACTTTATTGTAATTTTATAGTTGGAGAATGAAAAAAAGCTCATATTGTTTTGCAAGACTAAGTAAAGGGGAAAACAACAACAACAACAAAAAAAACCTCTGCACACTCTTCCGTTTGATGGAAGAATCAGAAGGTAATTATCTTCTAGGCAACGATAATTCTCACCCAAAGAGTAGAGAAAGTAGCACCAAGTCAGAATTTCAGGGGTTAAGGAAACCTGACACATCCATGCTTATCCAAAAGGGGTCTTGGGTTTGAAAACACTGAGATACACCAGATTGGAAACACAGAAGATGACATTAAGCCCCCGATTCCAAGAGACAAGAAAAGCAGCAGCCACATCCCAGGGCAAGAGAGGCAAAAGCATTTTTCCAGGATTCCCAAGGGAATACATGAGTATCAAGTTCACAAAATGTATGTCTGTACCTTCTCCTCCACACTCTGGAGAAAAAATAGAAATAGAAAGGCCCATAACTGCTGCCTAAAATGTTGGGAGTAGGGATATTTCTGCCACCTACAGTAAAAACCCAACATGCCAGCATTAGGGAACACTGGAATATAGTGACAATCAGTATATTGATTGTAAGTGTTCTAAAAGGTACTATTAACAAAGAAATCCAATAACCGAGTTTCATCAGTGTTTACTTCACAAAGGGTTGATCACAGAGCTTTTGGGGTGTAGGTCCTGTGAATCGCATTTTGTACAGCCTGCTCTAACATCTAAGAGGACAGCTGATTTCTTATGCAGATGCCACCATGCACTCACTGTGTGTGTTAAGGAATCAGCTCCTTCTCTTGGCCTTGATATCTTTGTCTTCAGAGTAAGGGAGAAGCTACCACCTGACAGAAGCCACAGTTTTTTCCGAAGCTGAAGAGATAGTGCAACTATATTTGCGTTCATGCATTCATTTGTCCATTTGTTCACTTACTGAACACATATTTCTGGAGGCCAGCTCTGTCCCAGACACTGTACTAGGTGCTGTCAGCATAGCAGTGCCCCAGCTACCAGCTAGGCACGTGCCGGCCCTCATGGAGATTAATTCTGGGTTAGAAGATAGATAATAAGCAAGGAGACTAAACAACAAGGTAATTTTAGAGTGCTGAGTGCCGTGAATCAAATTAACCAGGTAAGAGCATAAAAAGTGACTAAGGTGTTAAGTTTCTGACACAATGTGGTCAAAGAAGCCCCCTCTGAGGATGTGCTAGCTGGGCAGAGGTTTAAATGATGCAGTAGAGCCAGCCTTGTGAAGGTCATGGGGCAGAGTGGTCCAGGCAGGGGAATCTGTAAGTGCAAAGGCCCTGGAGCAATGATGAGGTTGACATGTTCGAGAAACTGAAAGAAAGCCAGGGATGCTGCAAGGTGGTGAATGAATGGGAGAGTGATAGGATCTGAGGCCAGTGAGGGCAGCCTGCGATAGATCTTGTGTGGTAAGGAATCTAGATTTTATTCCAAGTCTATAGGAAGCCTCTGAAAGGTTTCAACAAGGGGATAATGCCGGATTCAGATTTTAAAGGCTCCCTGCAGCCACTCTGCAGAGAGGAGATGGCAGAGCTGGCAGGAGTGGAAGCCAGGAAGCCAGTTAGGAGGGCATGACAGAATCTCAGTGGGAGATGGGTGTGGCTTGAAGCAGAATGGTGACAGTGGTGACAGAGAGCTGTGGATGGACTATTTTTCAAGCAGGAAAATAGACTTTGTGGTGGTCTGGTGGTAGGTGATGGAAAAGGGGCATCAGGGACACCTGCTGGGCTTTGGGGCTGAACATTGTGCCTATGCTTCCAAGTATTTCCATCATTATTACTGTCCCTGGCCAGGTGCTCCAGACTTAACTAAAGGAAAAGAAATCCACACATTTCCATGACTCCCTAAGGCCCTTTCCTGGGCAGCTAATATGCTTCTCAATCCTCCACCGTTTTGCTATTTTAGAATATCCTTTTGCATCTTGGATTTTGGAGAAGCTCCTCAGAGGCCCAGAGGGGACCATTTGTCTTGGTCCCTGAGCTGCTGAAATATTAACATGCAGCATTTAACACCTACCTTTATCATCCCTGCAGACCCAGCCTTGAGCTCAATGGGCGGAACAGTGTGGTTCATCGCTTGTTCCTTGAGCCAGGCTTCCTCTAGGAATTAATGAGACTCATTCCCAACCCCACGTCCTCAGGGAGTGGAAACACAAGCTGTCATGCACTAGTTTTGAAGAGGAAGATTGAGAAGGGGACTTGTTTTGCTGGATTTTTCTAATTCAGGGTACCATGTTGCCCCTCCTGGAGGACAGAGAGACATTCAAGGAGCCAGGTAGCATGTGGTAACCTCTGTGTCCATTTAGCCACCCAGAATATACTTAGTGAAAGCCTGTGCCCTAGAGGATTAGGGATTTTAAATCCGTTCACTGTCACCACAGGGTTAAAATGAGAAGAGCTAAGTGGACAATGACCCTAGCCATTCTAGGGGTGAGTGAGGAAAGCGGGAGGTGTTTTTCATTAGAGAGAAGATACACTGCAATCAGAAGGCAGTTCTTTCAGCATTTATTCATGCAACAAGCATTTATCATGCAACTATAGTGTGCCATGAACTGTTCCAGCACTATGATGCAGTCATGAACGGTTCTCACAAAACAGGACCCTCGTGTAGCATTTATCAATAGTTACAATAAAACAGGATCTATACTTTGGACTGTGGCATAAACAACATTTGCGAAGGCCCTAAAGCTCCATAAAAAGAAATGACTCATCTTCCACACAGGTGAGAGAATTAGTTTATTTGTTGTGGGATGTTTGCTTTTTTCTGAAAGCCCCAATTAAAGGAGCTGTGACAAGCATCAGCCCCAATCTAAAGTATAATTCTTTGAAAATTAGGCCTGTGCCTTTTATTTCTTTACATCCCTCCCATAGGAACCAGCCCAGTCCGAGTAAGTAGGAAACACTGTTTAAGATTTGCGGATGGGTAGATTGCTCTCAGTATTTTGCTTTGTTGACGTTATCCTTGGGTCAAAATCATCTGAGCCCCACGGTTCTAAAGTGTTGATGACAAGCATTTAGTTGGCTGCAGTTTCAGCCAGGCCTTATCCCAGAGAATCAGAGTGGTAAAGAGAAAGGCTCCAATATACAAAGGCTCCAGAGGATCCCAGTGACCAAGAGCCTTCCATCCCATTTCTGTATCCTTATAACCTCAGACTCCTGACTTCTGGCCCCAGCTCCTTACCTTAGTTGGATGACAAACCCAGGTTTAGCATGAATGGTCCATTCACAGTGAGCATTTAGGGGATAGCTTTCCAACAAAATCTGACCCTTTGGGGCTCGCAGAACCTGGCCACATCCTAAGAAAAGAAGAAAAGATTGGGACATAAAAATGGAGGTCAATAGGAAAGAGACTAGAGAAGGTCTCAACGAGACTTTGAGCACATGCCACACCCCTGAGAACAGGATGAATAGGGAAAAGGAAGAAGGAAATTAATGTTTCTCAAGCAGCTGGCAATGTGCCAGGCAATTTACATAGATTAATTCATTTAATCCACCCAACAGCTTGGGAAGGGAAGTGGTGTCCTCACAATTTTCCAGCTGGGAAAACAGATAGATGATCAGAGAGTTAAATAAATAACTTGTCTAGCCGCTAAGTGACGGAGCAAAGACTCAAACCTAACTGTGTTTGAATGTAAAGTTCGAGCCACCCTATCATCCTTCCTCTCCAGGCCTGACAAATGCCAGCCTGCTGCCCCTACCTTAAAAGGCTCAGAAAGTAGACCCTCCCCACAGCTCTACTCACTTTCCTCCACCATCCAGGCAGGAAATCAAGGCATTAATTTATTCTATGAGTAGTTATGTAATAAATGCCTCTTTAATGCATGACAGTGGAAAGGAGAGATGATTTCCAACCAGTTGGACTGGATTGATGATTTTCTCATTCTTTTCTTGCTCCCAACCCCTTTTGTTCAAATAAAGTCCTATCAAGATCACCAATAAAACTCAATGTATAAAAAAGGGGCTCCTGGTTAAAGCAGAAGTAGGGGCCCAAAACCCTCCACCCCGATCCTTACCTAGTCTGCTGAGTTACCTCCAAGGAATCCCTAAGATTTGAAAACCACCGTATTGAATAGTCTTTAAATTAGATCATGTTTTCTAGTGTTAAGATAAGCACAGGTATAGAAAATGCACTGTATTTTTGTACCCAAAAGTTTGGGGAAAATGTCTTGAAGTGGCTCTATGGAAAAATTATTTGGATCATGAAATAAATGATATTCTCTACCTGGGGGTTGCACACTATGATCCTTGGGCCAAATACAGCCCACTGCCTCCTTTTGAAAATAAGGTTTTATTGGAACACAGTGACACCCATTCATTTATGTATTGCCTATGGCTGTTTTTGGACTATCATGGCAGAGTTAAGTAATTATAGCAAGAGACAGTAGGCCCCATGAAAATGAAAATACTTACTATCCGGCTATTCACATAAAAAGTTTACCTTCCCTATTTCTATACAGAAATCCAGATTGCCTTCTTAAACTTGGATGCATAGTTATATTCAATAACTCCCCAAAAGTACAAAATTTCATAACTAAAAATAAAAATATTACTAGTGGATACTGCACCATGGCAAGATGACAGTAGTAATATTTCTAGTGTTAGGAAAAGAGCCCAAACTCCACTTTTGACAAAGCTATGAGGTCTGAGGCTTCTTACTTTTGTGAAAACTACTGCTAGGTCATACAATCTATCTCTTCACTAAGATCTTTATTGCTGCTGCCCTGTGCCAATGATGGAAAGCATCATCCACCAGTTTCCACTTGGGGCTCCTGTCTAGCCCCAGCCTCCATCATCTCTCTCTGTAATCTCATCTCCTCCTTCATCTCCTAGTAATACGGTTTGGCTGTGCCCCCACCCAAATCTCATCTTTGTAGTTCCCATAATCCCCACATGTCATAGGAGGGACCTGGTGGGATGTAATTTAATCATGGGAAAGGTTACTTTCATGCTGTTCTTGTGATAGTGAGTGAGTTTTCATGAGATCTGATGGTTTTATAAGGGGTTTTCCACCTTCGCTTGGCACTTCTCTCTCCTGCTGCCATGTGAAGAAGGACGCGTTTGCTTCCCCTTCTGCCATGATTGTAAGATCCCTGAGACCTCCCCAGCCACACGGAGCTGTGAGTCAATTAAACCTCTTTCCTTTATAAATTACCCAGTCTCAGATATTTCTACATAGCAGAGTGAAAACAAATACACCCGCCATTCACCCTTGTTCCCGAACATACTGTTGTCCACCTAGCATCCAAAGCCACCTTTTAAATAAATTAATCAGATCACATTATCTTCTTGATTCAAGCCCTCCAAAGGTTCTCCACTGTGCAGACACCTTCCTATGTTATTTGCAGCTCTGCCTTGCTGGCTGCCTAAACCCACACTCCTCCCAGTCTCACATACCACTCATCTGCTTGTCCCCACTGCCCTAGACACAGCCTACTTTCTGTGCCCAACTCCGGCCCTTGTACTTGCTGTTTTCTAAACCTAGAAGGCTCATCTTCTTCTGCATCTCTTTCCTGTAAGAATTAAGCTTATATGATTGCACCACTGCACTCCAGCCTAGGTGACAGAGCAAGACTTCATCTAAAAACATAGAATAATAAAAATAATAAGTTCGACTGCCACTTCTTCAAAGAGGCCTTCCTTGCTATCCAGCTAAAACAGGCCCTCCCAATTCTATGGTCAATATTATTACTCTGCTTTGTTTCCTTCATAATACACACGCCTATTTGAAATTATCTCACTTACTTGCCTACTCCCTTTGATAGAGCTGGGATCTTTTCTAGCTTGTACACCTAGAATGGTACCTGGCATATAACAGGTGCTCACTGCATATTTGTTGAATAAAAGGATGTTGATATTATCATTTGTATTTTCTCATTTAGTCTTCATAAAAAAACACAGAGAACAACATTCATCTCCCCATTTTCTAGATGTGGAACACTAAAGATGGAGAAGTTAAGTGATTTCCCTAAACTCAGATGCCAGGAAGTTAGAAGACTGTAAATCGTTATCCTAATGGTAAAGCAGTGGTTAAGAATAGAGACTGCAGAATCTGACTGCCCTTGGTTTGAAACTCAGCTTTATTTTCCCTAGCCGTGCAGCCTTGGGCAAGTTACTTCCTTTGTCAGAACCTCAGTCAACTTGAATCAAATGTGAATAAAAGTGGCAGCTACTGTATACGGTTTTGTGAAGCTTAAATCGTGCATGGCAAACTCTTAGCAGGAAAATTAGTAAATGTTAGCTGTTTGTATCGAGTGGCAGAGCAGAGATATGACCTTGGATCTGTCTAGTATCAACGCTGAGTCTTTGCTGATATGTTAAACTGTCTTAGGGGCATTCTGACCCAGTCCTCTCCCACTCCATTTTGAAACGGCAGAATTTTTCCACCCCTAAGAGAGATACATGGAATTTTTGCCCGCTCCCTTTTTGAAATGCACGTTCCTTCTCTGCACACCTCACACTCCTCATCGCCCCCATCTACCCATCTGCTGCTGGGCTACGGAAGTGATATGCAGGGTGTGAGAGACAACAAAAGAAGCCTTCCTGCACAGCCCCCGTCCCTCAGGGACTGGCAGCTTCCCAGCCTGTAAGGTGTTAAATCCCAGCTCCCTCAGCAAACCTCCTGCTGGGGATCCCAATTTAGAACCAGCAGCAAATCCTGCCAGCCTGCTCCCAGTTTCTTCTCTCCATATGGAAGCTGGAAGCAGCCAGCTGTGCCTCAGGCCCCTCCCCAAATCCAAGGGAAGGCGGTGCTCATCCCCATTTAGGCTTCCTTGGCACATCCATTTGGGCTTTGGCCAGCTCCAGGGTCTCTTGCAGTCTCTGGAGGGCTCAGTCCCCATCCTCACCCAGATGCCCGATCCCTGGCCATGTGAAATGCTGGACCACCTGTTCCTGTAGCCTCAGGGGCTGTCCTTCAGAAGCAGCCAGGATTCTAAACACATGCAACATCTCCATTCTTCTTAATGAGGTTCCTTTCACTCTGAAGGGGAGGGCAGAGTTGGCCCCAAGATGGGGAACAACTTCCAAACAACCAGAGACAAAGGGGCCACTTCTTGGAAATGTGTTTGGAAGAAGGTATATTAGGGAAACAGCAAGAGGAGGAGGGAGCGCTCCCTCCCCACATCAAGGAATGCCTTCAATTCCCTCTCCACTCTTGCCTCTACTTGGAGAGCTGGCGAGGCTGGGTGCAGGGGCAGCCTGACTACACCTCTCTGTCTAGGGCAGAACAGTGAACACAGCTGAGTGTCCCTGCCAAGGAAGTATCGTTGGCCAACCTAGCAGGTGGTCCTGAGTCTGAAAGACCAGAGCAGGCAAAGAGCCTGGAAGATGTGCTCAGATTCCTTAACAATGTCTTACTGCAGGAGAAGAGGGGTATAGGTGTGTGGGCGTGTGTGTGTGTGTGTGTGTGTCTGTGTGTGTGTAGTGATATCTGTCAGTGAAGCTGGACTGTGCCCTGAGCTCTCAAATCCTGGCCTCATTGCCGATCTTTCCCCATGGCTACGTGCCCAAACAGGAGGGGCGGCTGGATAGTCCCTGCTTCTACAGAACTGAAAGGAAATCTTTATTAATTTCTAGACCAGTAAGACAGCTGGAAAAGGCTCTCAACAAAAATGAACACCCTTAGCCTCAGACAAAAGTCTTCTTATCTTCAGCATTTGGTGCAGGGGAGGGGATTGTGGGAGAGACACACACACTTCTAAGAAGTGGTTGGGTTTTGTTTTTCTTTACTGTTTCCTCTTAGAAAGAAAAGGAGGACTTAAAAAAATTCAGAGAGAGGCATTTGCATTTTCTTTCCTCCTTCAAAGATGACACAGTCTGTGATGCCAGCCGGGGTCCGAATCTTAGTTCGGCCACTTACTAGTTGTGTGACTCTAAAAAAGGCCACTATATTTTCTGAGCCAAGGTCTCTCATTTGGAAATGAGAATATTTGTACCTGCAACAATGTGTTTTTCTCACTTGTCTTAGGGATTAAATGAGATATTGTATGTAAAGCACTTAGCACAGCACCTGGTACATAAAAATGCTCAATAAGTGGCAACAAATATTGTTATTTTTCTCGAGTCTTGTCTGGATCTGAGGCACTGATTGTTTTGGTCCAGGAATCACAGGGGACAGCTCAGGTTCTGACCCACTGCTCCAGGGCTCATGAGAGCCTCATCTCTTCACTGGCTAGAACCCTAAACCCAACAGGTTTAGCATCCCAGACAGTGATAGCAGAGCCAAGGATTAGATGATGAAGACCCTAAGGGCTCTCACATCAAGAGATGGTTTCGTGGAGAGGATAAAAGAAGGGGCTCTGGGGCTGGCTTCTGAATTTTCATCTTGGCTCTGCCACTTACAAGTTGTATGACAGCAGAAAAGTTATTTATCCCTCTGTGCCTGAGTGTCTTCATCTGTCACATGGCTGTGACAAGGGTTGCAATGGGGATTAAATGAGTCAGTACAGGAAGGTACTCCGAATGATGCCTGGTTCATAGTAAGTACTACGTGTTGGCTTTTATCAGGGGCTCAGGTGTTCATCAGGAACAATGACAAGTCCTCAGCTCAGCCTGTGAGTTGACATATAACCCCAATCCACCTGACTCTATGATTGTTTATTGAATTGTCTGCCTCCCCCATGACGCAGTTCCACGAGAGCAGGAATATCATCTGTCCTGTTTATACCTCTGCCTCCGCCAAGTCAGTGCTCAATTACCATAACTACTAACTGAATGAATAGTTAGACCAAAAAACCAATTCAAACTTATTTCTGTCCAAACAAACCATTTTTAAAGCCCCTCCCCACCACCCCATGTCAAATGGCCTGTCCATTCAGTTGAAAAAATGGTTGTTCAGAAAGAATAGCATCTACCACTTTGCTGCAGAAAGTCTTTCTTCACCCAAAGTTGCCAGGGTTATCACAAAACACTCACATGGAAATAGCCCTGCTAATACAACTCAATGGACAGGGTCTGGCTAGGGTAGCACAAAGAGTTAAGACTGCTAAATACTTTCAGTCTCTTTTCCCTGTGCTTCAGTTTGGTTGATTTCTATTGAACTGTCTTTAAGTTCCCTGATCTTTTCTTCTATTTTGACCAATAGGCCATTAATCCCCTCCAATGAATTTTTGTTTTATTTCAGATAATGCATTTTTCAGTTCTAGGATTTCCAGTTGGTTTCTTTTTTATTGTATTTTTCAGTGCTAGGGTTTCCATTGTGTTCTTTTAAATACTTTTCAAATCTCTCCTGAATTTCTTTTTCTTTTTTTATTATTTTACTTTAAATTCCAGGATGCATTTGCAGAACATGCAGGTTTGTTACATAGGAATACACGTGCCATGGTGGTTTGCTGCACCTATCTACCCATCATCTAGGTTTTAAGCCCTGCATGCATTAGATATTTGTTCCGATATTCTCCCTCCCCTCACTCCCCAGGCCCTGACACGCTCTGGTGTGTGTTGTTTCCCTCCCTATGTCCATGTATTCTCATTGTTCAGCTCCCACTTATGAGTGAGAACATGTGGTGGTTGGTTTTCTGTTCCTGTGTTAGTTTGCTGAGGATGATGGCTTCCAGCTTCATCCAGGTCCCTGCAAAGGACATGATCTCATTCCTTTTTATGGCTACATAATATTCCATGGTATATTATATACCACATTTTCTTTATCCAGTCTATCATTGATGGGCATTTGGGTTGGTTCCATGTCTTTGCTATTGTAAATAGTGCTGTAACAAACATACATGTGCATATGTCTCTATAGTAGAAAGATTCATATTCCTTTGGGTATACACCCAGTAATGGAACTGCTGGGTCAAATGGTATTTCTGGTTCTAGATCCTTGAGGAATCACCACACTGTCTTTCACAATGGTTGAACTAATTTACATTCCCACCAACAGTTTAAAAGCTATCCTATTTCTCCACAGCCTCACCAGCATCTATCATTTCTTGACTTTTTAATAATCACCATTCTGACTGGCATGAGATAGTATCTCATTGTGTTTTTAATTTGCATTTCTCTAATAATCAGTGATGCTAAGCTTTTTTTCATATGTTTGTTGGCTGCATAAATGTCTTCTTGTTTTGTTTGTTTGTTTGTTTGTTTGTTTGTTTTGAGACAGATTCTTGCTCCGTTGCCCAGGCTGGAGTGCAGTGGCATGACCTCGGCTCACTGCAACCTCCACCTCCCAGGTTCAAACAATTTTCCTGCCTCAGCCTCCCAAGTAGCTGGGAGTACAGAAGCATGCCACCACACCCAGCTAATTTCTGTGTTTTTAGTAGAGACAGGGTTTCACCATGTTGGCCAGGCTGGTGACAAACTCCTGATCTCAAGTGATCCATCGCCTCAGCCTCCCAAAGTGCTGGTATTACAGGCATGAGCCACCTTGCCTGGCCATAAATGTCTTCTTTTGGGAAGTGTCTGTTCATATCTTTTGCCCACTTTTTGATGGGGTTGTTTGTTTTTTTCTTGTAAATTTGTTTAACTTCCTTGTAGATTCTGGATATTAGACTTTTGTCAGATGGGTAGATTACAAAAATTTTCTCCAATTCTGTAGGTTGCTTATTTGTTCTGATGATAGTTTCTTTTGCTGTGCAGAAGCTTTTTAGTCTAATTAGGTCCCATTTGTCAATTTTAGCTTTTGATGCAATTGCTTTTGGCATTTTCGTCATTAAGTCTTTGCCCATGCCTATGTCCTGAATGGTGTTGCCTATGTTTTCTTCTAGGGTTTTTATAGTTTTGGGCTTTATATTTAAGTATTTAATCCACCTTGAGTTAATTTTTGTATAAGATGTAAGGAAGGGGTCCAGTTTGAGTTTTCTGCATATGGCTAGCCAGTTTTCCCAGCACCATTTATTAAACAGGGAATCCTTTCCTCATTGCTTGTTTTTGTCAGGTTTGTTGATGATCAGATGGTTGTAGATGTGTGGTGTTTTTTCTGAGGTCTCTGTTCTGTTCCGTTGGTCTGTATGTCTGTTTTGGCACCAGTACCATTCTATTTTGATTACTGTAGCCTTGTAATATAGTTTGAAGTCAGGTAGTATGATGCCTCCAGCTTTGTTCTTTTTGCTTAAGATTGTTTTGGCTATATGAGTTCTTTTTTGGTTCTATATGGCATTTAAAGTAATTTTTTTCTAATTCTGTGAAGAATGTCAATGATAGTTTGATGGGAATAACACTGAATTTATAAGTACTTTGGGCAGTATGGCCATTTTCACAATATTGATTCTTCCTATCCATGAGGATGGAATGTTTTTCCATGTGTTTGTGTCCTCGCTCATTTCCTTGAGCAGTGGTTTGTAGTTCTCTTTAAGAGGTAGTTAATGTCCCTTGTTATCTGTATTCCTAGGTGTTTTGTTCTCTTTGTAGCAATTGTGAATGGGAGTTCATTCATGACTTGGCTCTCTGCTTGTCTATTGTTGATGTATAGGAATGTTTGTGATTTTTGCTCATTGATTTGGTGAATTTTTCATGTCTTCATCCATTATAGTCATCTTTTCCTGTCAATCTTTTAGTGCATTTATTTTAAAGTTATGTAAAAGTTTCTTGTTTGAAAATTTCCATTTCATCACCCATGCTCTATTTCTTTTGACTGGTTGTTCTCTTGAATGTAGATCTTATTTCCTTGCTTGTTCACAACAAGAGATCTATTGTTTCCTTTGATTGCAAACGCCCTCTCCTCTATTAGGCTGGTGGGAGAACTGATCAGGGATGAATCAGTTTGACCCAATCAAGGGTTAAGCTGATTTGGGGCAGGACTGAAGCTATAATCTCACCAGAAGAGCCTTGAAATTCAAACCCCATAAACCTAAGGAAATCTCTCTTTGATTTTCATCTCCTCCTTCCCCCAGCTTCCTGCACTCCTGTGACTACAAGACTGGGAAGCTGTGAGCCCATGAGACTGTGAGACTTTGAGACCACAAGCTTATAAAGCTGCAAGGTGACAACATCCCAAGATCTCCTGCTTCGTAGCCTCATTCCAGCCTCTGCTTGCACAGGCAAATTCCATTTAATAAAATACTTGGTGGAGAGGATTGTCTTTGCCTTGGAGTCTCTTCTAGATTTAAGTTCAACTGGTCAGCCCATAGATTCAAAAGTTTTCCTGTCTTCTCCTCCTCCTTCTCTGGTAGGCCCCTTCCTGCACTTGCCCTGCCCCCAACCGCAGCAGCTGCCTTCAAGTATGAAGCATCCCGAATCTCTTGCTCATCCTGGAAGAATTCACCCCTCTGGAGTTTAAATTCTTTTAGATTTCATATTATGGTTTTAATGAAAACTGTTATTTTCTTTGGTTTAATCTAGTGATTTCTTACTGTTTGAGCAGGAGGGAAGGTCTTTCACATCCTTCTATACCTTCACCAGAAGCTGAGCTATGATTGATGAGTTCTTTAACAACATAAAATCCTCTGCAAAGATTTAAACATGAATTCTCTGTGGTCAAAGAGCTTCAGCACATAAAATATAAAATACTATTTGCCATACAATACTTTGTCTGGTGAAGACTACCTCCTTGTGCCCAGTGTGTATTCTCTAACCTTAAAGGCTTCTCTTTTATTATCTTTCTTCTCTGGCCCTATATTGATTTCTTCCCCTGCCACCCAAAACAACAACTAACAAATAGAGCTCATTTCATGGCTCTGGATTATAAGAATAGCATCCACCATTTATTGAGCACTTACTATATACCAGACTCTATCCACCATTTATTGAGCACTTACTATATACCAGACTCCATATTAAGGGATTTATAGACAGTTCTTCACTTAATCTTCACAAAAACTCTCAAGGCCACTATGAGGATCCCAATTTTGTAAATGAGGAAACTGAGATTCACAAAGATTGGGTAACCTTGCCCAAAGCCAGGAAAGAAACAGAGATTCAAATCCAAGCCCAGGCTGCTAACTGCCACCTAATACCATCCCCAGTTTGAATCGACCTGAGCATTGTTCTTTTTCTGGGAGCATCAGGACACAAAAGTCTGGAGCGAGATGAGGCAGCTTTCAGTAACTCCACCCTAGGCGATTCCGCAGCTCCCCTGGAGGGCAGCCCCGAAAGTCAGTAACACACAGCTTTGTAAGCCTTCTCCCCACTCCCCTTAAGTTTGCTCTTAATCATTCCTACTTATGGCTCAGGAATCGGCCTGCACAAATCCTCTTCCTCTCCGATAACTCACCCTACAAACATTTTTGGGCATGGCTTATGGCCAGTTCCTCTGTTTCTCTGCCTCTGTCCAAAATATGACTAAGAAGATAAATGTATTAAGGACCTATAATCTCTCCCCATAAATCCTCTCATCTGGGTTGCTTTCCTAACCTCCTTAGATGCCCAGTATCCTTCAGGGACTGAAAGGCTGGGATCACTGCCATGCCAGCTAGAAGTGTGGCATTCTGGGTCGCTCTTGGGCCCTCCTGCTGCTCATCTTTTTTGATGGCCAAGGAACTCAGCCTAGGGCCAAGCTAAACCAACACCAGTCCAGTGGTCAGCAGTGGAAGTCAGCAGAGTGGTTCCACTTCAGAACGCAACTTTTGAGTTTAAGAAACCCTAAGAGGAAGCCTTGGTTTCGACTTTGGATATCAGCACCTCTAATAGCCAGCACCCAAATCGCAGTTCCTAAATACAATTTCCCACTATAAGAAACCAGGATGCAGGGAGAAATAGCTTGTTTCAAGACCTGGGCATAGAAAATCAAGGTGAACTTAAAACATTTGAGGGTCAGGGGTAGAATGCAAGTAAGTGCTCAAGGAGAAATGAGGTGCAGCCTGCTTAACGGGCCAAATCTGAAACAATCTAAGCATCAAAAGAAAAATTATGATAACACTATGAAACAGAAAAAAATTAAAATTCATGAGTCTTAAAGTGCAGAAAAAGAGAGAGAGAGCCAGATGTTGGAGAATGATAAAAAGTGGCAAATCCTGGAAAGGAGCATATGGATGTATACTATTCTTTCAACTCTCTGTAGAATTGAAGGTTTTACATTAAAGAGTGGAGAAAGGTAGAAAGAACAGCTCTTTTTTTAATGGCGATAAAGTGCCAGTAGCTCTTAGTCTGGATATTCTGAGATTACTAAACCAATCTTTCCTGGGCAGAAAGATGTGAATAAGTTCTCTCCTGGGCTCAATAGCCTCAGGCCGTTTGCCCATCCTCCTGGATAATACAACCTGCCAATGGTTATGCATGAATCAATTCCATAATGAATTTTAAGGTTGTCATTAGTTAGGTTAGTAATATAAACATTGTCAAGGACAGTGAGCAAATAAAGGTGCTACTGCATCTGTTCAGTGCCAGATGCTCTCTAACCCACATATAAAACAGCTCTGATCCTTCTGGCACTTGCCCGCCACTCCTCCCTCCTTCTAAGGCTCTGTATGGTACTCAGGAAAAAAAAATGCCCAGGCTCTTCAGAGACACTCAGAAGGAAGCGCCTTCAGGATAACGTTGTCTGAAAGGATCGCTTGGGCGCCATCTAGTGGGAAAATGCTTGCACTGCCATGGGGCTCCGGCGCTGTGTCCCAGCCATATGTAGGCGACCCTTAACGTAGGCAGGCAGCATAGTGCTCAGCACCAGGCAGGCATTCAACAAAGAGTGAAATGAATTACTTCTTCCTATGAATTCCCTACACATTTATTTAGTGCCAGTATGAGGTGAGGGTGATAAGAACCTAATAACATCATATTGATGTCTTCTTATGGTCAAGCACTGTTTTCACAGATGGATTGTAAACTCATTGCGGAATCATTGTGTTCCCTGGTGACCAGCCCAGTGCTCCATAAGAAATGCTCCATCAGTGCTCATGGCAGTGGTAACATACACTGTGTGGAATGAGGCTCTCAGAACAAGCATAACGTAATTGAACAAGCAAAACTGAACCAACACAGATCGGATAGAATCTGACCATTAGTTTGTTTTTTCAATTTCATAGCATTGACCACATTCTATTTTTTTAACTTTAAAAAAAATCTCCTCTCTAAAGCGCAAGCTCTAAGATGTCAGAGACCATGCCCGTCTGGCTTATCATTGTACATCCAGCACCTAGAAGCATCCATTCAAGAAATATCTTTTGACTGGATGGGTAGATTAATGCACGAAGGTGTGAGCTCTCTGTTCTGCCTGCCTAGGTGATAGACTGGTTGCTCTGAGCCAGTTCTGCTGTCCTTGAGAAAGCCTGGACCCTCAAATGGACACAATCACCAGCCCAATCAATGAGGCTCCATAAACAGCGTCTTACACCAAGGTGCAACCCAAGATTTGACCAGTAGGTGCTATTTAAAAAGACACATGCTCAGGATTTCTGAATATTAATATTTTCTGTTTCATAACATTTGGGTGACTGCTATCCTTGTTTTGTTACCATTTGCTGTATTGACTTCTTGCATGCAAATATTCTTTCCTTCCTGTCCCCTGCACCCTGAACAAACCCCCTTACTCACATGGAGCGACTGAAGTATTGTTTAGAAATATTTATCCACCCCTCTTCCTTTGGGATGGCATATACTTCCCTACTTCACTCATTGGGAACTTAGCCATGTGACTTCTTTTGGCCAGTGGAATATGGGTGAGTGTGATGTGCGCAGAGGCCTTATGTGCACCTGTGTGTTTGGCTTGACCTCTTGTGCTTCTGCGACCCACCCTGAGAAGAGCATCCCCTGATGGTTGCTGTCCCTTCTGCCTAAGCCCTGCAGCCTGGAGCACAACCAGCCCAGGTCAGCCCAGTTGAAATCAGTGGAATGCCTGCCAACTCACAGACCCATGAGAAAGAACAAACATTTGTCCTTTGAGATTGTTAGTTACCCAGAAAAAAAAAAAAAAAACTGAACACTTTATCACCACCATCCCTGAAAGCTTCAACTTAGAAACTCTACTCTCTGACCATAATACCCATTCCACCTATGTGTTCCATTACTTCATTACCACCAAGCCTGCTTTTCCACTTAAGACCTCCTGTCCCTATTGCCCCTCTACCAGGCTCTTTCTGATTTCATGTCCTTCCCAGCTGGGATCCTTGGTCAGTCATGTCTCAGCTTATTCTTGGATCAACAAAACAACTGGTTTTACTCCCTTCTGCTGCTGCACTTCCAGAGAGCATCAGCCAACGTCCTAACTGACTGCATCACCTCCCTAGGAACTCTGGCTTCGACTGGGTCCTCCGTCTCGCTTGGATATGCTTTAAGCTTAACACCAGCTGGTGCCTTTTCTTGTTCCTCAAGTGGCTGCCCCAAACCTTTGGTACTTTCAAGCCCCAACCTCACTTCTACTCATTCTCAGCAGATATTTCACTCCCTACTTCCCAGAGAAAACGGGAGAACTCACCAGCAGGAGGCAGACTAGGACTGTGGTTAAGAACAAGAGTAAGGGGTCTGGAATCGTCCTGGGCTTTACCCCAAAGTGTACGGCCTCAGGCAAGTTACTTCACAGCTCTGAGCCTCAGTTTCATTATCTATAAAATGGGAGTATGTATTTTCATAGGGTGATTGTACAGATGAAACAAGACATGGCACATAAAGTGCTCAGCACAGTTCCTACCATATAATTACTAACAAACAAGATATGCTACCTATAAATAATTCTTTTCCTCCTGTCTCAGCCTAGGACAGAAAAGGAAGCTCCCTCTCCTTTAACTCTCACTTTTGTTCTTGATCTCATAGGAAGTTCTTCTCCTTCAGGATAACATGGTCTTAACTTCTTCAGTTAGTCTTACTCTAATATGTAATATTTTTAATCTCTCCTACTGACACTTTACTCACATTAGCTTAAAACCTGTTTAACCCTTTCCCATCTTTTTTTTTTTTTTTTTTTTTTTTGAGAGAGAGACAGAGATGAGGTCTTGCTCTGTTGTTTAGGCTGGAATGCAGTGGTGTAATCATAGCTCACTGCAGCTTCAAAATCCTTGGCTGCAGAAGCGATTCTCCCTCCTCAGTCTCTTGAGTAGCCAGAACTACAGGCATGCACCACCATGCCTGGCTGAATTTTTTTAATATTGTGTAGAAACAGAATCTTGTTTTGTTGATCAGTCTGGCCTTGAACTCTTGTCCTCAAGTAACCTGACTGCCTCATCCTCCCAAAGTGCTGGGGTTACAGGTATGAGCCACTGCACCCGGCCTTTCCCATCTTAATTGGTATTTTTCCACAGCTGTTTATTTACTCATATAAACTATCACCTTAATTCTCCCCTTCCTTGCTTGATTAAGCTTATTTAAAAGAAAGTTGTCTGTATTCTTTTTGTCCATTTTTCACACTTCAAATCTTGCCTTTTTTTTTTTTTTTTTTTTTTTGGAAACTGTCTCACTCTGCCCAGGCTAGAGTGGCAGTGGCATAGCTAATTTTGTATTGTTTGTAGAGACAGGGTTTCACCATGTTGCTCAGGCTGGTCTCGAACTTCTGGGCTCAAGTAATCCACTGCCTTGGCCTCCCAAAGTGCTGGGCTTTCAGGCATGAGCCACTGCGCCCTGCCAAATTTTATATGAAACTGCTATTGCTCAGGTCACCAATCGCATGCTAGCCATCAAACACAAAAACCTCTTTACTGCCTTCATCCTATGTGACCTTTCTGCCTTTGAAACACTGCCCCCAGCTTCCAGAACCCTACTCCTTCCTGGTTCTCCTCCTATCTCTCTATCTTTTCCCATCTCCTTCCTGGTTTTCTCTTCCTTTCCTTTTACATCTGTTGCTATTTCCTCTGCCCATGGTGCTCTGTTCACCTCATGCTTCCATCTATAACAGCCATAGGCATATCTCAAGTCTCCAAAATTCTCTTGAGCTCCAGGCACTTATTTCCTACTGTCTGCAGAGTCTCTTATAGATGTCCAAATTCCAGCTTATCTCATGTGGAACTCACCTTCTTTCCCCCACCAAACCTCTTCCCTTTTATTACTCACTTAACAGCATCAACTTCTAGACAGTTAATCAAACTAAGAATTTGAAAGGCAAACTCTTGAGATTCCTTACCCCATTCTTCAGTGAGTCTTGAGTCCTGTCACTCCTTCCTTTAAGCTCTTCTCACTCTAGTCTCCCTTCTTCATCCCCTGAAGCGCTGCAATCGCACTCCTAATGGCTACCTTTGGATATGGTCTTCCTCCACTCCAGCGGAGTTATGCTACAAGAGTTATCTGTCAAATGGTACTCCCCAGATTAAACCATCCTTCATCTCAGAACCATGTCTAAGCTCTGAGCCCTGGAACACTATGCCCTTCATAGTCAGGGCTTGCCACCCCAAGACCATCACCTTGCTCTAATCATACCTCATGTCACATGCTTCCTTGAACACACCTTGCATTTTCACACCCTGACCATACTATCCCTCTCCCTGAAATATCTTCCTGCTCTGCCAACTGAAGAGCAAAGGCATAGCTCAACCTTCACTTCCTGTCTGAAACCTTACCTCCCTCTCCCTGTCATTAACTGTTCTGTTAGCTAGTTCTCAGAGCACTTGGTCCATCCTCTACTTCACCACTCTTCCTTGGTTCCCCACTGCACTTGCAATAGCATCTAAATTCCTTACCTAGCTTACCTACCTACAAGGCTGTATTAATCTGTTCCCACACTGCTAAGAAAGACATAGCTGAGACTGGGTAATTTGTAAAGGGAAGAGGTTTAATGGACTCACAATTCCACATGCTGGGAAGGCCTTGCAATCATGGCAGAAGGCAAGGGAGAAGCAAAGGCACATCTTACATGGCAGCAGGCAAGAGAGCTTATGCAGGGGAACTCCTGTTTATAAAACCATCAGATCTCCTGAGACTTATTCACTACCATGAGAACAGTATGGAGGAAACTACCCCTATGATTCAATTATCTCCACCTTGCCCCACCCTTGACACATGGAGATTATTACAATTCAAGCTGAGATTTGGGTGGGGACACAGCCAAACCATATCAAAGGCGTGATCACACTCCTGCCTACCACTCCAACCCCATCAAATCCCCCTTTCCCTCTCATGTGCACAGAGAAAGAGCACTCTTCCATATGACCCAAAGCAGGGAAAAACCCAAAGTGATCTTACATAATCCAAAGGTCAATGTGAAATCTAAAGCTGTGCACTACAGCTCTAATTACAACTATCTCAAACTATTATTGAAAGTAGTTTTGTCAGGCATGGTGGCATGTGCCTGCAGTCCCCGTCACTTGAGAGGTTGAATCAGGAGGATTGCTTGAGCACAGGAATTTGAGGCCAGCCTGGGCAACATAGTAGGACCCCATCTCGGAAGAAAGGAAAATAAATGAAAGGAAGAAGAGTAGTTTTATTTCTGAATCACCTAACAATTCAGTAATTAAGGGGCATATAGGATAACAGTGACATATTTATTGCATTAATTGAGCTTTTACTATTGTCAGAGCACTAAGTGCTTCACACACATTATCTCATTTAATCCTCAAATCAACCTTATGAAGTTGGTAGCATTATTCTCCTTTTTTATAAAAGGACACTGATATTAGCAAGGTTAGATGACTTGTCCAAGGTCATACTGGCAGTGACAGACAAAATCATTATTTAAACCTAGGTCTGTTTCATTCTAGAGCTTGTATTCTGCTCATTATGCAATGCAGTCTCCATAAATCAGCTGCCAAAGAAGACCAGGGTTAAATCTTGCAGCTAACCTACCTGGAACATAATCTGCCAGGTACTGAATTAAATTTACGAGAAACCACCTAAAATGGCATCGAAGTTTTAAATCAGCAACGAAGACCAACACTTAAAAAGTATCTGTATTATGGATAACTGAACTCCCCAGTTCACCTGGAAGTGCCAACAAGCCCCTTCTCCTCCTGGTATAGTTGAGTTTCTCAGCTGCAGACCATATACTCATCCTTAGCCACAGAGTCTTGAAACTGATGGTATTTCAGTACAGATTTTATCAGTCAAAGATACCAACCACACTCCATCCTCCCTCTCTGTAAACTGGAAATATCATTCATAGGAGTAAAATTAGACTGCAAGACCATTCTAACTGCTTCTGATTCAAGTTGGAAGCATATGGAATAAGTTAGTGAAATAAAAGCAATTTGTACATTGCTTGAGATACAGACTCTCAGAGGGACATTCATCATTCAGGGCACTGTCGGGGGGAATCTTGGACTGAACGAGAGATTAGATTTCCTCTCCATTTTCAAAGAACTGTTGAAACTCACAGAACTCTAATAAAAACTAAGTAATTCTTTCAGATCAAGCAGATCCCAGAAAGAATCTCTTTCCTCGGACAAAAGGCATGCTAGCAATTTGCTGTGGGTTGCAGGAATTTAATTCAGGATTCAAGAAATTTACCAACAGAAATTCATACGTACAGTGCACTACAGACAACATTTCTGAAGACTTATTCACTGTTTGCTGACCAAGGCTACCATGCAATTGCTTCTGGAATGCATAAAGCAGAAAGCCTTGGCCTCACTTAGGAAGAGGAGATTGAAGAGTAGACATAAACCTCCTGTGGCCAAGAATTCAAACAAATGTTCACAATCCACACCTTGCAGATGGAAATCCATCTTTGTTTTTATAGTTTTACCTAGAAAGCCCTCTGGCTGCAGGCTTTCCAAAACTCAGATTCCAAGGAGATAAATTTTGGTCCATTGTAAGCTGAGACTTTAAGACAGTGTGCACTAGAGATGGAGCTAGGTCAAGGTCTACTTACGCATGCAGTCTCCTCCGTACCAGCCTGCTCGGCACTCTGCACAGTAGAACCCCTTCACATAGAAGTCATCCAAGGTACCCCCCCATGAGCCATTTCGGCAGCTCTTGCAGTTTTCAAAGATGGTACAACCTGAAACATTCCCAAGAAGAGGAGTGTTAGGCCAAAGCACCTGCGAGTTCTGATCAGCTGCATGGGAGCACAACTGCACCTTCTCAGGGCCCTGTCTCAACTAAGAGCATCTGGGCCTAGAAAGGTGTCAGAGCCCAGAGGAAGAACCTCTCATCTCAAGGAAACTGCTAGAGGCACCAGAATTCAGACTGGGGAGTTTAGAAGGGTGGTCTCAACGAGTATCCCAGGTAGTGGCTGCTGTTTTAAAGTAACATGAAATTGCCTGCAGGAAACAGAAGAATCTATCAATATAGAGTCTTTTGTATAAATGTTACGTGTTTATTGTGGAATTTTTAGAAAATTTAGACCAGTAAAAAGAATTAAATAAAAAATATCTAAAACCCCATCACCCAGGCTATTGCTAACAGTCTTTCTCTGCCTATATACACATACATGTTTTAAATTAGACTTATATTACTTATGGTACATTGTTTTTGTAACTTACTTTTGAATTTCATAATAGACAGTAAATATCTTCCTGCCATATACTTCCGTAATGAAAGCATGCCATTGGAAACAACTCTCCTGTCTAACAATAGGCTCACCGTGGAATGTGTCGGGCTCCCCACAACCAGCAGGCCACACCAGAGGGGTCTGTGTGATTCCCCAACAAGGACCAGTTTAAAAACATGGCCTCTTGAGGGAGAGGGGGGTCGTGAGAAAAAGTACAAATGATTCAATCCCACTTAACAAAATGGAGAACTGAGTTCTGGCTCTGCCATCGTGCAGCTGTGTGTCCTTGGGCAAATTGTTTAAGCTTTCAGTGACTCAGTGTCCTCATTTGTCAAACTGGGTGATATGATTTGGATCTGTGTCCCCACCCAAAGAAGCCAGAGCATCCGACTTGACTCTGTTCTTCCCTTCCCTCTCCTATCCCACCCGATAGATCCCAACGTGTGGTCAATTCCATTCTCAGATCCCAAATCCCTCTACCTCTCACCATCCATAGAGCTTCTACCTTTATTAAGGTCCCCATTATTTCTCTCCTGCCTCTAGTCATGCGTGTCCTCCAATCCTTTCCCCATACTACAGCTAAAGAGAAAAATCTGCTTTCCCTTCTTTACTAAAAGATTTCCAATGTTATCAAAATATCTTCAGTATATAGCCTAAACTTTGAAGCACAGTTTGCAAAGCACTTCAGGATCTGGCTCTTGTTCCTCCCTTCAGATTGCTCTCTCTTAATCTTTTCTCATTCATTAATTCCCTCTCACTCTCCCTCTCCTTCTCCCTCCCTCTCTCCATCTATCCAGGTCTCTCATCACATACACATTTCTCCTGCCGGACTGTGCTAGTTGCATCTCCCAAAACCCATGCTTCCTCTTGCCACAGGACCTTCGCACATGTTATCCTCTGTGGCTTGACTTCTCCTCCCCATCCGCCTCACCTTGTTTAGTCTGCTTCTCCCATCAGCATGCTCACCACCTTCTCTAGTAAGTCTTCACTGACTTTCCTCCCACCTGCCCCCATTCCCATCCATGTTGCCATAGTACCCCATGCTTCTCTATCATAGCACTTACTACACTGTATGGTAGCTGCCTGTTCTCCATATCCCCCCAGGCTATAAGCTCTGGGAATGCCGGAAGTGTGTCTTTTGTTTTATCATTGTATTCCCAGTACCCCACATGGTACATAAAGCTGCTCAGTCAGCTTGTTAAATGAATGAGTGAATGAATTCAAAGTTTCACAAGTTTAACACTGAAAAGAGTACTGACTCCTTTTATTCCTGTGCCTTTAGTTAGAATGGGCTGAATTGTGTCACTTTTCATAATCATGGCACCACAGCCTCCTGATGGCTGCCTGCTAGAATTCAGGCGTTCAGCCTGTTCCTGTTCATTACCTCCAACAACATGAAGGCAACCTGAAGTCTCCCATTCCACACTCACCTGGGTGGATCAGGCAGGAGTCACACTCATTCTCCTCATTCCTGCAGCAAGGGATGGTATAACCCACGACTTCCCTCTTTCCGGGGCAGACGCACTCAATCTGATCATATTCACAGCACTCCCGACACATGATATTCCACTCTGCTCCAGGGCAGGCTTCATTAATGACTGTGTACTCTGAAATGGAAAACCAGCAGGTGAGGCTAGGTCCTGGCAGGGAGTGGTAAGACTCTTTGTTTGTTTGTTTGTTTGTTTTGAGACGGAGTCTTGCTCTGTCGCCCAGGCTGGAGTGCAGTGGCGCGATCTCGGCTCACTGTAAGCTCTGCCTCCCGGGTTCACGCCATTCTCCTGCCGCAGCCTCCAGAGTAGCTGGGACTACAGGCGCCCACCACTACGCCAGGCTAATTTTTTGTATTTTTAGTAGAGACCGGGTTTCACCGTGTTAGCCAGGATGGTCTCGATTTCCTCACCTCGTGATCCACCCGCCTCCGCCTCCCAAAGTGCTGGGATTCCAGGCGTGAGCCACCGCACCCGGCCCAGGGAGTGGTAAGACTCTTAAGTACTCTACTGCTAAGAGGCAACCTTGCCCTATAAATGCATTGCCCTGCCCGAATGAGAAAGAAGACCCATGTGAATTCTTCCCAGGCCAATGTCTCCAAAGTAGGGAGACCTACCCCAAGGAATATTTAAAACCACGCATGGGAGCATAGATGAAGTTTGTTATAACTGCTATTCATTTTTATTTTTATCTTTAAAAAAAGAAATCAAGTTTCATCAATATATAATCTAGGTGGATTGACAATAGAACCTGTATATAATTTATAAACCAGCACACATCTCTTAGGTGTCTATGCTTATTTATATTTTTGTTAGAATACATCAGGCCACTGTTTACGACTACATAGGTTGTGCACTGCACAGATCCATAGCGAGCCATTAAACTGCATGACTACATACTGCAGCCCAGGCATGTGGCCATCAGAAAATTTGGAGACCAGTCTCCACACCAGGTCATTCAAGTGCAAGGCCAATTGCCAAGTAGAGACTATGTCATTTCTTCCAAACTTGGCCCCTCAGTTTTTCAGCGTGCCATTTTCATAGTACCTTCAAAGCGAAAACCAATAGAAAAGACAAAAAATACCTTAATTAGTATGTTTGGGAGAATTTCACTGTTTTACAATGGTGAACTCATTAGCCCAACTTCATTCAGGCGCCAAGTGCAACTGAGTGTTCTTTCTCATAAGAAAAAAAAAAAAAATCCCTTTCTGGGCAGGATTCTTTCCTTCTCATTTTCTTTTTTTATATATACCTTCAGTAAAGAGAAAAACCATCTGGCAAAACCTATAAGAGGAATCAGTCAGAGGCTGCCCAGAAGAAGTCAGGCTAAGAAACAGACCTTCTAGTTTTGATTTCCTCTTCTTTTTCCCCACTCTCTATTTCTAAAAATTTTGCACAAAGATGACAATTACAGCTGAAATGAATTGGATATTTGAGGAAGTGAATCCGGACAAGATCCCCACAAAACCTTCCCAAGAAACTCCAGGCAGGGATCACCAGCATGCTTCGTAGGCCCGCATAAATGAATTCTAGCACCTGCAGTGGCTTCTAAACCCTTGAATTTCATAGTTTCCTCCCCAAATTAGGAAGTGTGACACAGGGTTGATCACTCTCAATTTTCCAAGTAGAGCCATTTAAATAAACTATCATCATCTATCTTAGCCTCAGGTCATAAGAACATGCTAATATCATAGAAGGCAGACACTCGCACAATGAGGGACAGTTATTTAAATGGAATAAATTTAGTTTCATGAAAATTTGACTTTTTAAATCATTTTTCCACAAATTAGTGGGCCAGAAAAGATCCTTACATTGGTGTTTGGGAATGAATGGCTACATCATCATAGCATAATCGCCACTGAGATTTCTTTCCACCACTACTGTCTGAGCCCCTTCAGGGTGACCACCATGACTTACTTAGCTGCGCTTCCCATGTCTCTGATGTTTTACTGACAAAGTGAATGACTTCTAAAATCTGGATGAGAATTTAATGGTTAAAAGTGAGGAACAGCAGAAGGAAACATAGGAGTAAATCTCCATCCATGATCTTGGATTTGGCTATGGATTCTTAGACATGACACCAAAAGCAGGAGCAACAAAATAAAAATGAATTAGACTTTATCAAAATTAAAAATGTTTGTGCAGCAAAGGACATTATCAAATAAGTGAAAAGACCACCCACAAAATGGGAGAAAATATCAGAAAATATTTCTGATAAAGGCTTGATATCCAGGACATATTTCTAAAACTCATACAACTCAACCATAAAAAAGACAACATAGTTTTTTAAATGAGCAAATGACTTGAATAGACATTTCTCCAAAGAAGCTATATAAACGGCCAACAAGCACACAAAAAGATGTTTAACATCACAAGTCATTTGGGAAATGCAAATCAAAATCACAATGAGCTACCACTTACTAGGGTGGCTATGATCCAAACCAAGGGAAAAATGGAAAACAAGTGTTGGCAGAGAAGTAGAGAAATTGGAACCCTTGTATATTGCTGATAGAAATGTGAAATGGTGCAGCCCCTATGGAAAACAGTTTGGCAGTTCCTCTTAAAGCTAAACAGAATTGCCCAGCAATTACACTTCTAGGTATAGATCTAAAAAATTGAAAACAGAGACTCAGAGATACTTGTATGCCAATGTTCATTCACAATAGCCAAAAGGTGGAAACAACTCAATTTTCCATCAAGAGACAAATGGATAAACAAAATGAGGTACATGGGCTGAACGCAGTGGCTCACACCTGTAATCCCAACACTTTGGGAGGCTGAGGCAGGCAGATCACTTGAGGCCAGGAGTTTGAGACCAGCCTAGCCAACATGGTGAAACCTCATCTCAACTAAAGATACAAAAAATTAGGCGGGAGCAGTGGTGCACACCTGTAATCCCAGCTACTTAGGAGGCTGAGGCACGAGAATCGCTTGAACCCAGGGGCAGAGGTTGCAGTGAGCCAAGATTGTGTCATTGGACACCAGCCTGGGAAACAGACCAAGACTCTTGTCTGAAAATAATAGTAATAATAACAAATAATATAAAAAATAAAAAATGAGGTACGTGCATACAATGGAATATTATTCAGCCATGAAAAGAAATGAGGAGCTGCTAGGTGCTACAATGTAAATGAACCTTGAAATCATGCCAAGCAAAAGAAGCCAAACACAAAAGGACAAATATTGTCTGATTCTACTTAAATGCAATATCTACAATAGGCAAATTCATAGAGACAGAAAGTAGATTAAAGGTTACCAGGAGCTGGGGGAAAGCTGAATGGAGAGGTGTTGCTTGATGGTTACAGAGTTTCTGTTTGGGGTGGTGAACTAGATACAGGTGATGGTTGCACAATCACAGGAATCTAATTAACGCCACAGAATTATACACTTAAAATGGCTAAAATGGCACATTTTCTTAGCCTTCTCTATCCTTCCACTCCTCCTCTGATTATCTGCACTGGGCTTTAATTACCCCTTAGCTCTCCCTTCATTGTACATTTATATCTTCCTATAGGTAAAATGTTTTTGTGTGTCCATAAACCCTAAGACCATGTTGACCACTCTGAATTTTCAATAAATAGTGATTGATCAACTATAACATGTCACTGTACTGATATTTATTACTGTACTACATTATAACATTCAACTTCTCTTCTTTCTCATTGCAAGTAAAATATCTAAAAATTATAACTCAATACAGCTTTCTTTTTTTATATATATAGCTTCTTTTTAACATAGAAAAAAATCATATTTTCAAAGGCTGAGAGAATGAAGGGAAGCCATCCAGTTAGAAAGGATAGCATACCCAAAGGCCACAGGATGGAAATAAACACAGGCCATATGCACAGGACAAAAACCAAGCTTACTTGAAAGTAGCAAAGACTATGAATCCTGTGCAAGTTCTTGTTTACATCACATGCTCCTACCTGTGCCAAGTTTTCCTAGTGGAATGTGTGTTATTAATAATATGCTGTAGTTTTGTAAATCCATGTGGTATAGCCCATTATTCAAATTATTCAAATTTTGGTATTTGTGATACCAGAAAAGGGCACATTTTATGTTATCTACATATATATTACCACAATTTTTTAATTGTGAAAAGTCGAGGAGGGAGAGTGAGAGAGAACAAATTGGTTAGAGGCTCAAACATGGGAGTCAACAGACCTGCATTTGGAATCTCCCTCTGCTACTTGCCTTGGCAAAGCTACGTTACTCTCTCAGTCTCAGTTTAGTATCCAGTAAAATGAGTGTACATTTTCTCCAATTTAGGCCTGTTGAAAATACTAGACAAAATAATGCATATAAACAGCTTAGCACAGCACCCAGTATGTACTAAACATTCAGAAACTAATAGCTTAGAAAGAAAAAAAGAAAAACAATAGAGAATGCTCATATTTCTCAAGGATATGGTTTTTTACGTATGTCAGATCAATTTCTTGCTTAAAATGGTCACCTTGCTTCCCATCGCTTTTGCAGTAACCCTCAAATTCTCTGCCCCAGCCCACAAGGCCTTTGAGGCCTATGCTCACCCGACTCCGTCCACCTTTTCCTGGCCACTGTTTCCCACCTTCTCTCCATTTCTCAAAACCACCAAGCTCTGGCCCACCTTGGGACTCCACATTTGCTTCTCCCAAGGCCTCCGTCTCAGGCCTTCACGTAAATGACGCCTGTTCAGAGAGGTCCTCCCTGGCCTTCCCCTCCAAAATGCACACCCCTTCGATCCCATCCGTGGTTATTTCTGTCTCACTATCCTATGTGTTTCCTTTCCTGGTCCTTACCACAGTTGAGAATCGTTTTCTGTTCTCATTTACCTGCTGACTGTCTGCCTCCCTTACATGCCCATAAGCTAACAGGAGCCACATCAAACCTGTTCACCACTGCCAGGGCAGGGCTGGCTGGCACACAGAGGTGCTGAATAAATATCTGTTGAATGAATTCGGCCTGAACTTAAGAGCTACCCTTCCTTCACTAGTCAAATATTTCCATCCAGTGGGTTCAGCTTGGAGCCATGAGCCAGGAGAGCCAGCTTTGCCTCTAACTTGTTGATACCAGAGCTGGGTGCCTTTCCTCCCACAGCGAGGTATCTAGACATGGGGGTCCAGGTGGCCTGCCTTGGGTTCATATTTCTGGACTCCAGCCCCCACCCTGTACAGATGTATGTTCGTTCCACTCTCTGAACAGCGAATATGCCCATGGGGTGTGGCTCATGCCTCACCCCCTCCCTCTATTCACCCTGCGGCAAGCACTACATCCTTCTAGGTTTTCTAATAATTTTGTAAATACTAATAACTCAAGGGAGGACACCAACAGGATAAATAATTTGCAACTTTTATAAGATTCTGTACATCAACATGGAAGGCCATTTAAGGTTTGTTCCACTCCCTGTTTCCCCCTAAGCAGCAGATTCGTTCACCTCCGGCCTGTCACATGCCAGGGGTCTCCCTTTTACCCAGGAATTAATTCCCTAAAATAGCTTTATTGGTATTTCTCTTTACTCCAGTGAGCAAGCCCACCTCAGCCCTCTTTACTCCATTACTGTTTACTCTATAGATAAGATCCATTTCTCTTTACTCCAATGAGCAAGCCCACCTCTGCCCTCTTTACTTCATTATTATTTACTTTATAGGTAAGATCCATCTCAGTCTAAGGGAATGACCCCAGGGAATCCTGGCAGAAGGGATTTTACAGATGTGACTAGTTTAAGAATTTTGAGATGAGAGGCATATGCTGTAATATCCAGGTGGAACCAATGTAATCACAAGGCCCCCCGTAAGAGGGAGGCAGGATGGTCAGAGTCAGAAAGGAGGTGTGCCGACAGAAATGGAGGTTGGAGTGATGTACTTTGAAGATGGACTGTAGAACCACAACCCAAGGAGGCAGGCAGGCAACCTCTAGAAGTCTGAAAAGGCAAATAAACAGCTTCTCCTGTGGAGCATCCAGAAGGAATGCAGCCCTGCCAACCCTTTGATTTTAGTCTTGTAAGATTCATTTTAGACTTCTGACCTTCACGGCTGGAAGGTAATACATGTGTGCTGTTTTAAAGCCCTAAAGTTGTGGTAATTTGTTACAGTATCAGTAGGGGACTAACATACTGGGACTTCTTGAAAGAAAGGTTAGCCCACAGCAAGTCTTTGAATCACTCTGTTCCTCATTTTCTCCACTGAGCACAATGCCAAGAGCAAGGGTGAATCGATGAACTCATTCTTTTGTTTTTCAAGTATTTATTGAGTGTTGACTACATCCTAGGCAAGAGATGGGGCGCTGGAATACAATAGAAAAAAAATAGACATCATCACTAGCCTGATGGTGCTCACAGTTCAATAGAGAAGACATTGGTCAAACGACCCCACAAATACATAATCATAAACCACAACAGGGAAAACTTAGAATGCTATAAGAATGAATGAGTGGTCATGAAGGGGCATTAGCACCAAATCTACCGACCTCGTCGGGTTAGGGAGGTTTAAATAAAATTACAGAAAGAAATCCATCTACAGCTATGCATCACTTAATGACAGGCATACGTTCTGTGAAATGTGTCATTAAGCAATTTCATCGTTGTGTGAACATCAGAGTGTATTTACACAAATCTAAGTGGCATAGCCTACTACACACCTACACACAGGCTACAAACCTGTACAGCATGTTACTGTACTGAATACTATAGGCAATTGTAATACAACAGTAAGTACTGGTGTATCTAAACATATCTAAACAGAAAAAATATGGTATAAAAGATTTAAAAAATGGAACAGCTATATAAGGCACTTACCATGAACAGAGCTTGCAGGACTGGAAATTGCTCTGGGTGAGTCAGTGAGTGGTGAGTGAATGTGAAGGCCTAGGACATCACTGTACACTACTGTAGACTTTATAAACACCATACACTTAGCCCACACTCAATTTATCAAAAATATTTGCTTCAGTAATAAATTAACCTTAGTTTTCTGTAACTTTTTAATTTTATAACCTTTTTTTTTCTTTTTTTTTTTTTTTGAGACAGGGTCTCACTCTGTCACCCAGGCTGGAGTGCAGTGGCACAATCTCGGCTCAATGCAACCTCTGTTTCCCAAACTCAAGTGATCCTCCCACTTCAGCCTCCCAAGTAGCTGGAACTGCAGGCATGTGCCACCAGGCCCAGCTAATTTTTGTATTATTTTTGTAGAGACAGGGTTTCATCATGTGGCCCAGGCTGGTTTTGAACTCCCGGGCTCAAGTAATTCACCTGCTTTGGCCTCCCAAAGTGTTGAGATTACAGGTGTGAGCCACTGCACCCAGCCAATAAACTTTTTAGTGTTCACTTTTTGAGTCTTTTACAACAGCTCAAAACACAAATACAAGTACAGTTGTACAAAAATATTTTCTTTATGTTTTTATACTATATGTTTTTTCCTGTTTTTAATTTAATTATTATTATTTTTTTTTTACTTTTTAAACTTATTTCTTGAAAACTAAGACACAAACATACATATTAGCCTAGGCCTACACAGGATCAGGATCACTGCTCCCACATATGAGTAAGAACACGCAATATTTATGGTTCTGTGCTTGCTTATTTCACCTAACATGATAACCTTCAGTTCTATCCATGTAGCTGCAAATAAGAGGATTTCATTCTTTCGTATAAATAAATAATATTCCCTTATATATAGGCACCACATTTTCTTTCACCAATCATCCACCGATGGGTACTTAGGTTGATTCCATATCTTGTCTATAATGAATAGTGCTGCAATAAACATAAGAGTGGAGATGTCTCTTTGATATATTTCCTTTTGGATATATTCCCAGTAGCGGAATTGCTGGATCACATGGTAGTTCTATTTTTAGTTTGCTGAGAAACCTCCATACAGTTTTCCATAATGGCTGCACTAATATACATTCCCACCAACACTGTACCAGGGTCCCTCTTTATGTCTTCACCAGCATGTTATTGCCTGTCTTTTTGATAAAAGCCGTTTTAACTGGGTTGAGATGATATCTCATGGCGGTTTTCATTTGCATTTCTCTGCATTTTTTTCATATACCTGCTGGCCATTTGTATGTCTACTTTTGAGAAATGTCTATTCAGATCTTTTGCCCATTTTTAAATTTAATTAATTAATTAATTAATTTTTAAGTTCTGGGGTACATGAGCAACATGTGCCGGTTTGTTACATAGGTAAACATGTGCCATGATGGTTTGCTGCACCTATCAATCCATCACCCAGGTATTAAGCCTGGCATGCATTAGCTCTTTTTCCTAATGCTCTCCCCCAACCCACCTTCCTCTAACAGGCCCCAGTGTGGGTTATTCCCCTCCCTGTGTCCATGTGTTGTCATTTTTCAGCTCCCACTCATAAGTGAGAACATGCAGTGTTTGGTTTTCTGTCCCTGTGTTAGTTTGCTGAGGATAATGGCTTCTGGCTTCATCCATGTCCCTGCAAAGGACATGATCTCGTTCCTTGTTATGGCTGCATACTATTCCATGGTGTATATGTACCACATTTTCTTTGTCCAGTCTCTCATTGATGGTTTTGCCCATTTTTAAATCAGATTTTTTTTGATATTGAGTTGTTTTAGCACATTGTATCTTCTGCTTATTAATCCCTTGTCAGATGGATAGCTTGCAAATATTTTCTCTCATTCTGTGGTTGTCTCTTCAATTTGTTGATTGTTTCCTTTGCTGTGCAGAAGCCTTTAAGCTTCATGTATTAATAATCCCAGTTGTCAATTTTTGCTTTCATTGCTGTGCTTTTGACGTTTTCCCCAAAAAATCTTTGCCCAGATCAATGTCCTGGAGCATTTCCCCAATGTTTACTTTTAGTAGCTTCATAGTTTCATGTTGGATTTAGTTTTTAATTCATTTTGATTTGATTTTATGTATAAGAAATAACGGTCAAGTTTCATACTTCTGCATATACATATCCTGTTTTCCTGGCACTATTTATTGAAGAGACTGTTCTTTTCCCCATTGTATGTTCTTGGTACCTTTGTCAAAAATGAGGTGGCTATAAGAAATGTGGGCTTGTATCTGGGTTCTGTATTCTGTTTCACTGGTCTATGTGTCTACTATTATGTAAGTACCAGGCTGGTTTGGTTACTACAGCTTTGTAGTGTACTTTGAAGTCATGTAGTGTGATGTCTCCAGCTTTTTTTTTTTTTTTCTTGCTCAGGATTGTTTTGACTATTCAGAATCATTTGTGATTCCATATCAACTCTAGGATTGTTTTTTCTATTTCTGTGAAGAATGTAATTGGTATTTTGATTAAGAGTTGCACTGAAGATTCAGTGCTTTGAGTAGTATTGCTTTGAGTATAAATTGCTTTGAGTAGTATTGTCATTTTAATGGTATTAATTCTCCCAATCCATAAGCATGCAATATCTTTCCATTTTTTGTGACCTCTTTAATTTCTTTCATCAGTGTTTCATAGTTTTCCTTGTATAGCTCTTTCATTGCTCTGGTTAAATTGACTCCTAGGTATTTTATATTCTTTGTAGCTATTGTAAGTGGGTTACTTTCTTGATTTGTTTTTCAGATTATGTTGGTGTATATAAATGCTACTGATTCTTATAGGTTGATTTGTATTTTATGACTTTACTGAATTCATTTATCAGTTCTAACAGTTTTTTGGTAGAGTCTTTAGATTTTTTTTAAATATAAGATTATTTGGTCTGCAAGCAAGGCTAATTTGACTTCTTCCTTTCCACATTGGATGTCCTTGATTTCTTTCTCTTGTCTAATTGCTCTGGCCAAGACTCCCAGTATTATAATGAATAATAAAAGTGGTGAAAGTGGGCATCCTTGCCTTGTTCCCAATCTTAGAGGGAAACCTTTCCATTTTTTTCCCCATTAAATATGATATTGGCTGTTGGTTTGTCACATATGGCCTTTATTATTTTGGACTATGTTCTTTCTATGCCTAGTTTTTTCAGGGTTTTTATCATGAGGGGATGTTGAATTTTATCAAATGCTTTTTCAGCATCTATTGAAATGATCACATGGTTTTTGTTCTTGATTTTTTTGATGCATGTATCATGTCTGTTTATTTGCATATTATTTGAATCAACCTTGCATCCTTGGGATGAATCCCACTTGATCATGGTGAATGATCCTTCTAATGTGTTGTTGAATTCAGTTCGCTAGCATTTTGTTGAAGTTATTTGCATCTGGGCTCATCAGTGATATTCGCCTCTAGTTATCTTTTTTGCTGTTGTTCTATCCTCGTCTGGTTTTGATAATAGGGCAATGCTAGCCTCATAGAATGAGTTTGGAAATATTCCCTCTTCAATTTTTTTGGTAGAGTTTAAGGAAAATTGGTATTAATTTTTCTTTAAATGTTTGGTAGAATTCAGCAGTGAAGCCATCAGATGGTCCTGGGCTTTTCTTTGATGGGAGACTTTTTATTACAGCTTCAACCTTGTTACTCATTATTGGATTGTTGGGGTTCTCTATTTCTTCCTGGTTCAACCTTGGTAGGTTGCAAGTGCCCAGGAATTTATCCATTTCTTCTAGGTTTTCCAATTTGTTGGATTATAGTTGTTCATAATAGTCTCTAATAATTCTCTGTGTTTCTGTGGTCTTGGTTATGTCTTTTTTCATTTCTAATTTTATTTAATTGGGATTCCTCTTTTTTTTAATTTTAGCTAAAGGTTTGTTGATTTTATCTTTTCAAAAAACCAACTTTTTGTTTCATTGCTCTTCTTAATTTTTTTAGTCTCAATTTAATTTATTTCTGCTCTAATCTTTATATTTATTTCCTTCTACTTACTTTGGGTTTTTTTGTTGTTCTAGTTCCCTGAGGTGCATTGTTATGTTATTTGAAGTCCTACCACTTTTTTGATGTAGGTGTTTATTGCTCCAAACTTCCCTCTTAATACTATTTTTGCTGTACCCCATAGATTTTGGTATGTTGTATTTCCATTTTGATTTGTTTGAAGAAATTTTTAAATTTCTTTCTTAATTTCTTTATTGACCCATTTGTCATTCATAGGCACATTGTTTAATTTCCATGTATTTGCATATTTTCCAAGGTTCCTCTTGTTATTTATTTCTAGTTTTATTCCACTATGGTCAGAAAAGATAACTGATATAATTTCAACTGTTTTGAATTTGTTGAGAGTTGCTTTATGGTCTATTCTGGAGACTGTTCCATGTTCTGATGAAAATAATGTGTATTCTGTAGCAACTGGGTGAAATCTACTGGGTAAATGTCAGTTGGATCCATTTAGTCTACTGTGTAGTTTAACTCCAATGTTTCTTTATTTTTTGATTGAATGATCTGTCCATTGCAGGGAGTAGGGTGTTGAAGTCCCCTACTGTTATTGTATTGCAGTCTAACTCTCCCTTTAGATCTATTAATGTTTTCTTTATATACTTGGGTGCTCTATTGTTGGGTGCATACATTGTTGGGTGCATAGATATTTATAATTGTTATATCCTCTTGCTGAATTGACTTCTTCATATTATATAGTGACCTTCTTTGTCTCTTTTCACAGTATTTAACATGTATGCTATTTTATCAGATAGAAGTATAACCACTCTTGCTCTTTTTTGGTTTCTACTTGCATAGAATTTCTTTTGCCATCCCTTCACATTCAGTCTGTATCTGTATAAGTGAGGTGGGTTTCTTGTAGGCAGCATATAATTGAGTCTTGTTTCTTATCCATTCAGTCATTCTATGTCTTTTAGTTTTGGAGAATTGAGCTCATGTAAATTTAGAGTTGTTATTGATAAGTAAGTACTTCTATTGCCATTTTGTGGCTTGTTCTCTGTCATGTAACTCATCTCTTCCTTTGTTCCTTTTTTACTGTCTTCCTTTGTGGTTAAGGGTTATTCTCGGGTAGTATGTTTGAATTCATTGCTTTTTATTTTTACTGTATCTATTACAGATTTTTTTTCATTGAGTTACCATGAGGTTTACAAAAATATCTTATAGATATAACAAATTATTTTAAACAGATGACAACTTACCTTAGATCACTAAAAAAAAAAAACAGGAAGAAAGAAAACAGCTTTTAAAAAATTCTACAATTTAATTCCATCCCTCCCACATTTTAACTTTTTGTTGTCTCAATTTACATATTTTTACACTGCCTATTTCTTAACAAATGGCTGTACTATTATTGCTTTTGACAGATTTGTCTTTTAGGCTTCATACTAGAGTTATGAGTGAATGACCCACCACAATTTTAGTATTAGAGTATTCTGGGGTTATCTGTGTATTTAATTTTACCAGTGGGTTTTATACCTTCAAAAAAAATTTTTTTTGCATGTTAGTGTTTTTTTTTTGTTTTTTGGTGTTTTTTTTTTTCAGATTAACTAACTTCTCTTAGCATTTCTTGTAAGATGGGTCTGGTGGTGGTAATTCTCTCAGCTTTTGTTTATCTGAGAAAGACTTTATCTCTTTTTCCTATTCAAAGGGTAGCTTTGCTGGATGCCATATTCTTGGGTGGCAGGGTTTGTTTTTTTTTCAGCACTTTGAACATGTTGTCCTCCTCCCCCATGACCTGAGTGGTTTCCACTCAGAAGTCTGTTGTCAGACAAATTGGAGCTTCTTTTGTATGTTATTTGCTTCTTTTCTCTTACTGCTTTTAGGGTCCTCTCTTTGTCCTTGACTTTTAAGAGTTTGATTAGCATGTGCCTTAGGGTAGTCTTATTTGGGTCAAACCTGTTTGGTGTTCTCTGACCTTCCTGCATGTGGATATTTATATCTTTCTTAAGTTTAGAAAGTTTTTTAGTTCTTTTTTTTTTTTTTGAATAAGCTTTCTACGCTTTGCTCTTGTTCAACTCTCTCTCGGATACCAATAATTCTTAGATTTATTCTTTTGAGGTAATTTTCTATATTGTACAAATCATCTTTGTTCCTTTTCTTTCTTTTTTCTCCTCTATTTTCAAATAGCCTGACTTTTTTTTTTTTTTTTTTTTTTTTTTGACAGAGTTTTGCTCTTGTTGCCCAGGCTGGAGTGCAATGGTGCAATCTCAGCTCACTGCAACCTCTGCCTCCCAGGTTCAAGCGATTCTCCTGCCTCAGCCTTCCCAAGTAGCTGGGATTATCGGCATGCACCACCAAGCCCGGCTAATTTTGCATTTTTAGTAGAGATGGGGTTTCTCCATGTGGGTCAGGCTGGTCTTGAACTCCCGACCTCAGGTGATCTGCCCACCTTGGCCTCCCAAAGCACTGGGATTACACGCATGAGCCACCATGCCCAGCCTCAAATAGCCTGACTTTGAACTCACTGATTCTTTCCTCTGTGTGATCCATTCTGCTGTTGAAAGCCTCAAATTTTTCAGTTCAGCAGATGTATTTCTCAGTTCCAAGATTTCTGTTTGGTTTCTTTATTATTATTTAATCTCTTTGTGAAATTTTTCTGATAAATTTCTGAATTAATAGTCTGTGTTATCTTAGCAATCACTGAGATTCTCTAAAACTGCTATTTTAAATTCTTGGTCAGAGCTCACATATTGCCATCTCATTAGGGTCAGTCACTCTCCCTTGTTTTGTCCATTTGGGGAAGTCATGGTTCCCTGTTTGCTGTTGTTTTTTGTGCACATCTTTGTTTTTGCATTGAAGGATTATTTATTTTAGTCGTCTCTGTATGGCTTGTTTTATTTTTTACTGGGTATGTTTGCTTAGAAATTCTTTGTAATTTACCTATTGAAATCTTTTTTTTTTTTTTCCTGCTGAGTTGCTACTTCTTTTTGGGCAGTAGATGGTGTCTTAAGCCCAGATTTGCCTTGGCTCTAGTAAACAAACAGAAAACTGCCTGTTCCAAATTGGGGAATTCCCAAAAGGAATATCCCAATAGTTTTGAAAGGCTGGCTAGGAGTTCATGCCTGGGGAACTTGTGGATGTACCTCCTGCAGCATAGTGCCACTGAATCACCACTCTGATTTGGTGTTTCTTTTTGCTGCGTTAAAGAGCAGAATTTCCAGGGCTGTGGATGGTAGTCCTTTCTTTCTCTGGCTTGTCTCTTGCTGTTGCCAGGGGTATTTTTCCCTTCAGGTACTTACAATGGTTCCTGTGCACTTTGAGGCAGGAAAGGATCTCTTGTCAAAGAACCCAAGATGGTGGGGAAGCTGGTTATCCACCTCAATATCAGTTTTTCCAGTGTAGAAACCATGAGTCAGAAGAAAATTTTCAACATGCTTTGTGTTGGGAAGACTGTGGAGAGGGACATTATGGATATGGAAGTTCAATTCTCTTACCATCTGCTCAGAGTTTTTTCACTTCTCTGTGGCCCTTGAAACTCAGTCATCCCCATATTTGAGTTCTGGGACTTTGCTACTGAAAATCTCAGTGCTATATATTTACTTTTGGTTTTGTGTCAGGAGAGTAAAGCTAGCTTGCTTCTATGCCACCATTTTGGAAGCAGGAACCTCCATTTTTTTTTTTTTTTTTTTTTTTTTACTTTTACTTCAGGTTCAGGGGTACATGCACAGGTTTTTTTATGTAGGTAAACTATGTATCATGCAGGTTTGGTGTACAGATTATTTCATCACCCAGGTAATAAGCATAGTACCTAAGAGATATCTTTTTATGCTCATTCTCCTCCCGCCCTCCACCTGCAAGTAGGCCCCAGTGTCCATTGTTCCCTTGTGGAACACGTGGATACAAATCCATGTGTACTCACTGTTTAACTCCCACTTATAAGTGAGAACATGGAGTGTTTGGTTTTCTGTTCTTGTGTTAGTTGACTTAGGATAATGGTCTCCAGCTCCATCCATGTTGCTGTGAAGGACTTGATGTCATTTTTTATGGCTGTGTAGTATTCCATTGTGTATATGTACCACATTTTCTTTATTGAGTCTACCATTGATGGGCATTTAGGTTGACTCCATGTCTTTGCTATTATGAATAGTGCCCTCTATTAAAAAATTATGAGAACACCATCATATATGCAGTCTGTCATTGACCAAAATGTCATTATATAGCACATGACTATATTTGCAAAAATAAAACCAGTTCCAAGCAATATGGAGGTGATGGTTTGGATGATTTTGTAACTTTGTTCCTTCCCCTCTGGTTTGATAAATCCACTATCCCTCTTTCTCTCCCAGCTTGAGTAGAGACAGAAAAGTACCCCCGAAAAATGAATGTGTAAGAAATAGATACATGAAATATATTTTGAGAAATATTTCAAGTTAACCAGCTAAAGACATTTTAAAATTCAATAAATAGACAAGAGCAACATCTTGTTGCTTGCATTTTTTTTCCCCTTGATCATAATTACATTTGTGGAAGGGCCACATTGGCCATTTGGCTTCAGCTGTACAAATTTCAGGGAATTTCAATGTGGTGCTAAGGGCCAGTTCCAGAAACTAGGATTTAGAGCAATATCAACAGCAGTAGAAATTATTGAATGTTTTCCTGTATGTATGCTAAAGCAATTTAACATTATTTCAGCTAAAATGTTTTTAAATTCTTAATGCAATTTAATCTTAAAAATGATCTAGTTAAGTTGCTAATAAATTTTATTTTAAATTAAAATTATTTAACCCAACTCCTTCACTTTACCAGTGAAGAAAAGGGTGAAGTAGGGAAGGATTGGTCTTATTTATTGAAACAAAGAGAAATACCAAAGAATCTTTTTTAAAGAATTAATTCTGGGAGAAAAGAGGGGTTCACAGAATTCCAGGGGTAGGGAGAGGGGCAGTGAACAAGCCTCCTACTTAGGAGGAAAGAGCTGGGCCAACTTGTAGTTTTGCCAGCTACTGGAATTGAGCAAACTTAACTTTGCTTTTCACATTTAAAGGCAAAGCCTTATGAAAGCTGCAAATAAATTTTACCTTGTCGGTGCTTCCCAATGAATAAGCACAAAGAAAACACAAAGAACTCATAGACCCCACACTGGGATAAACCAAGGCACTGAGAAAACAAGCATATGCCCATGATCACACAGCAAAATCAAGCTTAGGGAGTTCTGGGTGCTACACACATTCATTCATCACTAGCTCTTCCATTGGATAAAATATTTTTTTCTTTATAAAACACTTAAGACTTCATTTTTAGAGCAATTTTAGGTTCACAGCAAAATTAAGAAGAAGGTATAGAAATTCCCCACATACCCTCCCTCCCACAATTGCACAGCCTCCCCATTATCAACATCCCCACTAGAGCTGTGCATTTGTTACAACTGATGAACCTACATGGACTCATCATTATCACTGGAGCCCACAGTTTACATTAGGGTTCACTCTTGGTCTTATACATTCTATGGGTTTGGAAAAATGTCTAATGACATGTACCCACCATTAGAGTATCCTACAGAGTGGTTTTACTGCCCTAAGAATTCTCTGTTCTCTGCCTATTCATCCCTGCACAACCCTCCCCGCCCCCACCCCCGGAAACAGTACACTTTTTATCCCCCCAAAAAAAGAGTTCCTTGTGAAAATGTTTGGAAAATGAAGGAAAGTCTAAATAAGGAAATTAAAGGTATTCAGAAAAGATGTCAACATTTTGATGTCTATCCTTCAAGTCATGTTTTCAATGGGCATATATATCCACATGTAGGTATTAACAAATGTATAAACATAGAGTCTTATTATCTCTCAAAATTGGTAATATGTTTTATTTTAGAAACTGTTTCTTTTCTTGTATCACGAACGTTTTCTCTTGGCATTGAATAGTCTTTATACGAAATTTTAAATTGCTGCATAATTATTCTATGTGTGCAAGTGCTCCCCTGATCCCCTCTTTAAAATCAGAATAAAAAAATATTAAGACAGTTGCAAAGTATTTTGGCATCATAAGTCCAAACACTTCTCTCAACTTCCATGGTTATGGGCAGCCATCCTGGCATCTCCTATCTAAAGTGGGAAGTCCAGTTATATTAGTCCAGCCCTGTTCCTTTCAGAATTCACTTTGGCAAATGTAAGACATTTAACCTCTTGGTCCTGTTTCATCAATGAGAATAGCAAGTCATTGAAAACAATGCTGACCAACTGGCACAGGTTCAGCTTTCATATATTTAGTAAACAAATGAATGAATGAGTGAGTGAAAGAAAGCTGTCATAATCATCATCATCTTGCACAGCCCCTCACCAGGCTGACAAAATGTGCTTTACAACTATCCAATACTGGTCCGTTTCTACTGCTGATAGATGGAGAAGCATGTAATCCCTCAAACAGCAGGGGCTTAGCTATGCAGAAGGACAGGAGCAGCAAATGTGCCCCTCAGGCATCGTCTGCAAGTGCAATGTCTTCAACATTATATTTTAAGAAAATATGTTGCCATGATGGCTGTTAAGGTCAACCTGAAAAGACTCTGAGGATTCTGTACAAACACAAGGGTCAGGCTGTTCCAGACCAAATAGAAACATCAGATGTCAGACTAAAGGCCCTGGCCAAGACCACCCCAGAAGGTGGCAAAGAAAGACACTTTTGTCATGTGCCTGTTCCTCTTCCTTGATGTTAAAACCTACCTTTGAGTCCACCAAAAGCCCCACAGCTCTCCCTTCTAACCACATTTAATTAAAATTTCTACTGAGGTTTTATTTTTACCGTCTGAATTCTATAAACTTTCTGAGACCAGAGGGAGAAAAAAGGACATAGGAAACAGAGAGAGATACAACTAGGCAGCTTGGGCTCCTCACCCATCCCTACTCACTGCCCCCTCATCTTGTGCTGTCTGAATCTCTGGTATTGATGTCTAAGCAGCACACAACATTCCTAACCGCTGGAGGATCTGACCACCGGCTCCATGGGGCTGATGACACCGACAAGGCCAAGCAGGAATGATGAGACTGTGAGTCAGAGGCGACAGATTGCTTGCTGGGGCTCTTGGTGATTCTATCCCTCCCCCTGAGCTTTTGAGAGCCAACCTGTCACCAAGTGACCCTCAGTCTAGCCTGGCTGGATCTCAACCTCGGTGACCTCAGTCTTCTCCTTCCTTCTCACAGCTGCTCCTGTTAACAGCATACTGACAGCTGGAGAATCAAGGCCATCATCACCCTCCCTTTGGGTACCAGGAGTGATAAAACTTTCAATGGATTTGCTAGAAATCTGATTTTTTATCATGTACCCTGAGGAGAGGTAGAGGATCGAAAATGAATGTGTTGCTTTCTTTCCTTTCTCATCCTTTATTAAGCACACTGTCTCACACTGTGGCTTTTCATTCATCCTCCTCTACACCCAGCACCCACTAAGGATATATATGAGCCCTTGACACATACCAGCTCATTATATTCTCATAACCTCCCTTTGAGGTAGGTTATTTTCTTCATTTAGCAGATAAGGAAACAGGGTAAATAAATTGCCCCAGGTAACACGGCTTTCAGGTGAAAAGAAAGATCAGAACTCAGCTTTTTGGGGCCAAAGCCTTGCTCTTTCCAACACAATAATTGGTTCCTGAGAGTTCATGCCTCTGACTTTACAGTTGAAGAAGAAAGCAGCATTGGTGAGTAGAAACATCCAGAAATGAGGCTGCCCAAATTTGAATCCCAGCTCCACCAGTTCCCAGGTGGCCTTGGGCGAGTCACTAAACTTCTTAGTTTTCTCGTCTGTGAAATGTGGGTAATAATAGTACTTCTTCATGGTTGTGATGAGTATACAAAACCTAATAAAAGGAAAATGGTTAGGGTGGGCATGGTGGTTCATGCATGTAACTCTAGCATTTTGGGAGGCTGAAGCTGGAGGATCTCTTGAGCCCAGGAGTTTGACACCAGCCTGGACAGCACAGCGAGACCCCATCTTTTAAAAATATAAAAATTAGTTGGGCATAGTGCCATGTGCCTGTAGTCCCAACTACTCAGGAGGCTGAGGTGAAAGAATCGCATGAGCCTGGGAGGTCGAGGCTGCAGTGAGTTGTGATCACACCACTGCACTCCAGCCTGGGTGACAGAGTGAGACCCTGTCTAAAAAAATAAATAAATAAAGGAAAGTGGCGAGCAGGATGCTCAGTAAGCACTTAGTGTTATCATGTTTAAGATCAACAATCATGCTCTGAGTCTTATCAGTAGTCTATTCAGAACAGAGCTCTGCTTCCAATAGTGACACCAAAGGAAAGTTTAGGGGAGATATTGTTATATTCTGAGATCACTGAAAATGGTTGATGAATAACCTGTTTCAGATACTAATAGCAAACACCTTCACAGCACTTTCTATATACCAGACACAGTTCTAGGTTGTTCATCTATATCATCTCATTTAATCCTTACAACAACCCTATAGCATAGGGACAATTAACACTTCTATTTATAGATGAGAAAACTGAGGTCCAGAGGGGTTAAATACTCACAAGTAGTAAGTAGCAGAGACAGGATTCAAATCCAAGTAGGCTGTTTCCAGAGTCAGAGAGCATTAACCATCATGCTGGTCTGGCTCTCAGGTATGTCGTTCATCATTCTGAATGGCAACAACAACAATAAACTTACATGGAGAGCTTGCTCTGAGCCAGAAACCATGCCGAGTGCTTTCCGTGTGTTTCTCTGTGTTCTTTCATTTAGTCCTCACAATTGCATTACTATCTTGCATTTTATATATGAAGAAACCAAGGCACAGAAAGATTAAGTACCTTAATCAAGGTTATACAGTAAGTGGCAGAGCTGGGACTCAGTCTGTGTGCATCAGAAGCCCATGTTCTCATTTACAACACACTCCCCAGACCACCTGTATTGAAACTACCTGGGATGCTTGCTTAAAAGTCTTATTCCTGGACCACAGTCCAGACATCTTCCCTCAGAATCTCTGGAGGTGGGAGCAAAGTCTCTGCCTCTCAAATAAGCATATTCCTTTGAAAATCACAGTTTGGTGATGCTGCTTTTACTATATCCAGGAGAATGCGTTACCAAAAAGGCACCTTCCCTCCAGTCCATGTAAAGCTGTACTTTGCACTGGTTCTCCTTTCCCACTTGTCTAAAGATGAAAGATAATAATCCTGACTTCTTAGTGGCCTTGAAAGGGATTCTGATCTTCTGGGCTATACTCTGAACCCACATCCATGGAATCTGCCCCTCCTTTATGCTGCTGGACAACCACGGACAAGAAACCTTGCCACGGCATTTCCCTACAGCCTCGAGAGGATGGAGGCACAGGGATGAGATTGTTGATGTCACTGCAGTTGAAAAAACACAATGAGCATAAAGGGTTTTTGAAGAAAAAAATGCATATTTGTCAGACATTACCATTATTCTCTGCAGAACAGAAAAAGACACAGATGGCAAGGGAACGAAGGAGGCGAGATGTAATGTCTCCTCCAGGGGCCCACACATACATGGCCTTTTCAAGCAGTCTGTTCAGGTTTATATCATGGCATTGTGGGCTCCACCCACTTGCTTTTACATTTCCTAGTCCCTTTTCTCTAATCCCTCTTCCATTTATCTTGCCCCCTGCTGCTTTACTTTAAAAACAGAAATTCTACATCCATACCCAAAGGGAACAAAACCCAAACTCTAGGAGCTTGAAGGTGCCCCC